>NC_000005.10:22429032-22732063 GCF_000001405.40 Homo sapiens
TTTCTGAAGCTTCTGATTCACCTTTTGGTTAGCCTCAAATTTCCCGTCAGTTAATATCCCACTTTTATTCTATTTTATTTTATTTTATTTTATTTTATTTTATTTTATTTTATTTTCTAAGACAGGCCTTGTTTTGTTGACCAGGCTGGAGTACAGTGGTGCGATCATGACTCATGCAGCCCCCACCCTCCTGGGCTCACTGGATCCTCCCACCTCAGCCTCCTGAGTAGATGGGACTACAGTCATGCACAACCACTTCTGGCTACTTTTGTTTTTTTGCATTTTTTTTAGAGACACTTTTTTGCCATGTTGCCCAGGTTGTTCTTGAATTCCTGGATTCAGGTGATCTGCCCACTTGGGCCTCCCAAAGTGCTGGTATTACAGGTGTGAGCCACTGTGCCTGGCTATCTCAACTTCTTTTAAAACTCTGCTTTATACTCAACCTCAAGGGAAAAATTTCTTTTAAAAATAATATTTTAGCTATTACTAGTTATGCACATCTTTCTATGACCCTTCTTGTTTCCTTATTTCTGCCATCAGCACCATCCTATCATTTCCATGGTAGCACTGTATATATGCATAGTGTTGTATTATCACTTAATAAACCCTCCATAAACTAAACATGAATTTATTAGGTAAATTTAATAAAAAGTTGTCTGTAGAGATTACTCATTTTTTGAAATAGTGATGTTTAATGCTAAGTTATTCCTATCACAGTCTGTTGGCTTCTGTCATCTTGACAACATCTACACAAAGCTCTCCTGACAAATTTGGAAGTTGCTAGGTTGTTAGTATGTGTGACACTGAAACAATTGGTTTTGTATAATTAATTGGCCTATTCAAAGTCATAGCATCTTTGAATGAGAGAAGAAGAATACACAATTAATGTTGATGGCCATATAATTAGATATGAAAGCTGAAAGAGATTAATATAAACTCAGTGTGACAATACCTCCATAATTATCCCAGGGTAATCTATTGGTTACAGATGGTAACTACCATTTGCATGATCAAGACTATTTTTCCATTTTCCTTTTATATACCCCCTAAGATACTTTTACTACTTGAGAAAATACCTTAAATACTTACAATCCTAATGGGGAGTGATTTTCTGCTAAATCAATTTGTTAGAAGTAATCTCCCACTGACTTAGTGTACTCTTTGCATGCTCCAGAAACTTTAGCAATTGGAGGTGTTCAAATTAGTAGTGCTTTCCAGAGATAATGGGGATCATGTGAACCTCATGGGATCACTTGAACCTCACGGTACACATCAGAGAGATAAAAGAATTTTTGGTGATTCATCTCTCAGTTAAAGAGAAGAAGGAAACTGGTGGCTACATAGTACCCATAAAACAGAGTAAAAAAAAAATCACATATAAATATTTGGTTTTTGGTAAATTTGTTTGAAAAATTAGCAGAATTGAAATAGAAAATAGGAAATTGTGATAAAAATACAAGGAAAAAATTTTAAACTCTAACTTTATTTACTTAGCATGTTTCACAATTTCTTCTCAATTCTTTTTTTCCTCCCTGAGTGCTGCAGTTATTGAAAATCAGCTGCAAGAGTACATCCGCATCTCCTCCTGTATTCCCTGGCATATGCTAACTCTGAGTAGGTATACTGCAACAAATTGTTACTAGGCAATTGGGAATTTCTACCTGGAATAAGTGGCTATTATACAATAGAAATATTGGCCAATGAAATTGCTTACTCTTGTATATAATGGAACAGCCAGTGATGATTTGTTTTGGTCCTTCTTATCAGCCAAGCAGCTAAAATTAGAAACTACTTTTTTTTTTTCTTAGCAAGTAGCTCATTTCCAATCTCTTGCAGGTTAAAGATTCTTTAGCAGTTTCTTTGTAGTAAGTTGCTGATTTTACTTCAAGTAAGCTAGAGTGAATCTTAAAATATTTACCAGGCATATGACAAGGTAGTCTATTTATATGAACAAGTGTGAACATGTTATTAGTAAGGTTACTATGCTTATATTCCTGCAGTAGCCTTAAAAGCATGGTTAATTTGGTATATTTCTCCTTTATCCATTGAGTTACGGATTACAAAAATAGCTCAGTTGTTTTCAATTGCGTCATCCAAGTTAAATGGGAAATGTGTATTTCATTATGATTCTCAATTGACTAGCAGAACAATGTATAGGCACACAGCAATCAAATATATTAAGCCACTCAAATCACATATGGTCGTACTCCCCATACTAACATTTTAGTCAACAATGGATCCATATAAAATGACAGTCCTATACGTTTATGATGGGGCTGAAAAATTCCTATTGTTCTAGTGGCAACGTAGCCATCATAACATTTCAGCACAAAGCACTACTCATGTATTTGTGGCGATGCTGGTGTAAACAAACCTACTCTACTGCGAATGGTATAAAAGTAACAGCACATACAATTATGTAGAGTACAGAATACTGGATAATAAACAACCTTGCCACTGGCTTATGTATTTACTATACTATTCTTTTTACAAGTATTTTAGAGTGGACTCCTTCTACTTATTAAAAAATTAGTTTACACAACGTCAGGCAGGTCATTCAGGACATATTCCACAAGAAGGCATTGTTATCATAAGAGATGACAACTCAATGCATGTAAGTGCCCCTGGGACAAGATGTGGAGGTGAAAGACAGTGATGTTGATGATGCTGACCTGGTGAAGGCCTAGGCCAATGTGTGTGTGTTTGTGTCTTTATTTTTAACATAAATAGTTTAAAAAGTAAAAAGAAACAGAAAAAGCTTATAGAATAAGGACATAAAGAAAATATTTTTGTGCAGCTGCACAACATGTTTGTGTTTTAATCTAAGTATTATGAAAGAGAGTAGAAAAGTTAAAAAATAAATTTTATAAAGTAAAGAAGGTACAGTAAGCTTACATCAATTTATTGTTTAAGAACAAAAATATAACTTTGGTGTTCATCAAGTTTACAGTAGTATACAGTAATGCCCTAGGCGTTCAAATTCACTCACCCTAGGCGTTCAAACTCATGGTGAGTGAATGGTGACTCTGACTCACCCAGAGCAACTGCCAGTTTTGCAAGTTGCATTTACAATAAGTGCGGTATTGAAGTGTACTATTTTTTATATTTTATATTGTATTTTTACTGTACTTTTTATGATTAGATAGGATTAGATACATAAATACCATGGTGTTATACTTACCTCCAGTATTCAATACAGTAATATGCTGTATAGGTTTACAGCCTAGGAGCAATAGGCTATACCATATAGCCTAGGTGTGTAGTAGGCTATACCAGCTAAGTTTGTATGAGTAAACTCTGATCTTCACAAAACGATGAAATTGCCTAAAGATGCATCTCTCAGAACGTATCTCTGTCTTTAAGCAATGTATGATTGTATATCTATTGAACTGTTTTATTATTTATGTTGGTATTTGTTTACTACTTTTCAATAGGCAGATATTTTAAAGTGATAGTGGAAAAACTATGCTGTATATATTTGAGACTATGTATACACATATACACATATGTTTATGTCTGTGTGTGTGTGCGTGTGTGTGTGTGTGTATAAAATCTTCTATTCAAAGAAGTCGTGATTGACAAGAATTATCAAAGATTGTAATCTTCTCTTTCCTGGCAGCCTTCTTTAGAAGACTCTTCTGAAGTTTTTGACAATGTTTGACCCTGTTTTCCCCACAAAGTCTAAAGCTCACTTCATATTTCCTGTATAATTTTTCAATATTCCAAAGTGATACCTTTTTATAATTTAGTATCATTTTGATTTTCTTTCAATAAATTCTACTGAAATCTTTCATAGCTTGGACTGTTAAACCTGTGTGGGAGCTTAGAAATCCTATAGTAGTCCTTGTATTTATAACCTGGGATCTGTGGACGGCCAGAGTCAGTTGATTGAGCATTAGAATTCCTGAGCACTGGAGTTATATGCAAAACTTGGGGCACAAATTCATACATGTATTACCTGGAAAGAAATTCCACATTCACTACTTTCCCAGAAGTGATTAGAATTCAATACAGACCAAGAAAAGCTGACCTTGGCAAACCCTCCCTCTTTAATGTGAAACCATGGGACCCAGAGTAGGAATGTCAATTTCCTTCAGTTTAGTCACAAAGCCTGTGCTCAGCCCTGTGTTTTCTTTTTCATGAGCCACCTTCTTCTTTTCTCTTTATTCCAGATTGGTTTCTACTTTCCCGCATTATTTATGCTCATCAACGTTGGTATACTATTCCCAATGAAGAATAACATTTGCCATGTGTGAAAAATTAAAATGTATCAAACAATTGGCTGATTAACAGAATAAAGTACAGTTTCAAATGGGTACTGATAAAAGTTTTCCAGCATTTTTGAATCCTAAAAAAATCACAATATTTTATGTAAAATCCAGTTACCTGACACAACGGTTGTACTGGAGATATTAAAACGTATAGGGATGCATGCATCACTTAAGGAATTCACAATCTGATAAATTCAACAGATACATAAATGAGTAATTATAATATAAATTAAAAATTAGTAGAATAAAATTTTAAAATAAAAAATAATAGCTAACATTTATTCATCCCCTACCATGTGACAAGACATATAAAATTTTAATAGATTTGAATTTTCACAAAAAAGTATCTGAAATAAGTCACATGGTAATCTTTATTCTATAAGCAAACAGATATGAAAATTAAATACTTTTTCTAAGAAAGCTCAGTACTTACAAGCTGTTTAGGAATTCAAACACAGGCAAGCTGGCTGCAGTGTGAATGCCCTTCAACTATGTGTGTACCCATTTTATCTTTGGAAGTAACATTTTGAAATGCAAATGGATAATGAGTTGTAGCATGAGGATTAAAACACAGCATCAGAATCACAGCATTTGAGAACCAAAAGGAATTTAGATAATATGCAGTATAGCTGTCTGGTTAAGGAACCTATTTCCCCTATGCTTCTATACGTTCTGTAAGTTTTCTGAGTCGTTCTGATCACAGCTCATTTCTCGTGTATATTAGTATATCCAGCCCCCACACATGACTTTTATATGGTAAGTTTCCAATAACTGGTTCTCAAAAGGATCAAAGAAAGAGTGAGATGTGTCAGAAATGACTCCACAAATATTTGTGTAGAGCTATTCAAAATATACAAACTCTATAGAGTGTTAAAAATTGTTGACACAAGAACATAGTAAGTTGAATTTGGGGAAGTGTGAGGAGAATGGAGAAAAGGAAAAGTCAAATCAGAATAGGATTTGCTCCTCAAATCATTATAGTTTGGGTGTCTTAAGATTTGATGTTTACTGGGGGCTTCAATCCACATATTTCCTCTACATATACAACTATTTTCACATCTTCAAATATGTGAGCCAATATTTACAAATTACCTCCTCCATTTCAATTTTTTCTTGTCCAAATTTTCCCCATTTTGCATTGAGTTACTAGATATTTCCATTTGAGCGTGTCATAGAACATTAAATATATTATATCCAAAATGGAGTTCACCATGTCACTCCAAAATGATTTTCATACCTCTATTTTTTCCCAGTTAAATAGGATAATCACCAACCGAATCCATCCTAACGTCTTCCTCTCATATTCCTTGCATCTTATCATCATATTAACCATGCACAATCTTGCAGACTTTTATATAACGTCATTTTAATGCAGGGGCTATTATGTAATCTTTTTCACACTCCCAATTCCATTGTCCATTTTAAGACTACATATTTCAAGAAAAAATAGATTTTTTGTGTGCTTTTTTTTTCTTAAATTTTCTCAGCAAAGTTCTTCAATACTTGGCTCCATAATTCACTGATTAGAGAATATGAATAACTGCTAGCCTCAGCCTCTTTCCTTCCTTCCTATTGAAATTGCCTTTGCAAAATTATGACTGAAACAGTGAAAGAGATCTAACTCAACTTACTACATCTTGCTTCTAACCTCCAAGCTGTCCTTGTTCATTCCTGGGTGTAGGCTGAACTAACTTAGTGGGGGTGATGGTTAATAGTGAGTGTTAGCTTGATTGGATTGAAGGATGCAAAGTATTGATCCTGGGGATGTCTGTGAGGGTGTTGCCAAAGGAGATTAACATTTGAGTCAGCGGCTGGGAAAGGTAGACCTACCCTTAATCTGTGTGTGCACCATCTAATCAGCTGCCAGTGTGGCCAGAATATAAAGAGGGCAGAAAAATGTGAAAAGGCTACACTGGCTTAGCCTCCCAGGCTTCACCTTTCTCCTGTACTGGATGCTTCCTGCCCTCGAACATCGGACTCCAAGTTCTTCAGCTTTGGGACTTGGACTGGCTTCCTTGTTCTTCATCTTGCAGATGGCTTATCGTGAGACCTTGTGATCATGTAAGTTAATACTATTTAATAACCCCCATATATATATATACACACACATATATATGTGTGTATATATACGTATATATGTATATATACACACAAATGTGTGTGTACACACACATATATATGTATGTGTATATATATGTGTGTGTGTGTGTGTGTGTGTGTGTATATACATATATACTATTAGTTCAGTCCCTCTAGAGAATCCTGACTAATAGAGGGAGAAACTTAGTTTATAGTTTAAAACAAAGATGATAATAGCCCTTTCCCAAAACAGACCTCCTTCTTGCCTTTGTAGGACTAACATTAGCCACGAGATTCGAAATTACGGTTTAGGAGTTATGCAGCTAGAGGCTACAAGATTCTGACTTTCCTAAACTGCTCCTAAGATCAGTGCCTAAGATGTTTTGCAGACCCTGCACTTGATGGATCACCTGGCACCTCCCAGATCGATAAACTGGCTCATCTGATCTTGTGGCCCCTACCCAGGAGCTGACTTAGCCCAAGAAGACAGTTTTGACTCCCTATGATTTCATCTTTGACCAATCAGTACTCCTGGCTCACTGGTTTCCCCCCACCCATCATGGTGTCTTTAAAAACTCTGCTCCACGTATGTTTATTGCAGCACTACTCACAATAGCAAAGACTTGGAATCAACCCATATGTCCAACATTGATAGACTAGATTAAGAAAATGTGGCACATAAACACCATGGAATACTATGCATCCATAAAAAACGATGAGTTAATGTCCTTTGCAGGGACATGGATGAAGCTGGAAACCATCATTCTCAGCAAACTATCGCAAGGACAAAAAAACCAAACACCACATGTTCTCACTTATAGGTGGGAATTGAACAATGAGAACACTTGCACACAGGAAGGGGAACATCACACACTGGGGCCTGTTGTGGGGTAGGGGGAGGGGGGAGGGGGGAGGGGGGAGGGGGGAGGGATAGCATTAGGAGATAAACCTAATGTAAATGATGAGTTAATGGGTGCAGCACACCAACATGGCAGATGTATACATATGTAACAAACCTGCACGTTGTGCACATGTACCCTAGAAGTTAAAGTATAATAAAAAAAATATATATATAAAGCAAAATCAAGAATAAAGTGGAAAAAAAAACTCTGCTCCCTGAATGCTCAGGGAGGCTGATTTGAGTAATAATAAAACTCCAGTTTCCTGTACAACTGGCTCTGCATGAATTATTCTTTCTCAACTGCAAATCCCCTGTCTTGAGAAATCAGCTCTGTCTAGGCAGCACGCAAGGAGAACTCACTGGGCGGATACGCTATCAAATTTTCAAAGATTGAAGAACCATGAGTCCATGCTTTTAAGAAAAACAATATAGAAAAAAAATAAAACCCATTTTTGTTGTTGTTCTAGCAAAATAGTTCAACTCTATAATTTGTTCATAGAATTGAAATATGTACTTACATTCTAACACAGAGAGAAGGTCGTTACCCTTTAGCCAAAGTGTGAGCAATGATTACTCAGCACAACAAAGAACAAAGAACGTTGTTTCCTGAAATGTTTGTATGTGCATGTACAACTACAAGTACAAATACAAACATGTATAAATATGTGGTAAATTTTATTAAAAATAAAACATGGAAAAGTCAGTCTTTAATTTAATCTATAAATTAACATGCCTTTTATACCTTTTAATTATAATTTCCTAGAAAATAAGATTTAACTTTTTTCTTTTCTGAGAACAATTGTTCATCATTAAATATTCAGAAAGAAAATATTTTCCATGTAATAAATGTTTAACGCATATTTTTTCTTCAAGAGTCTTAATGAATTGTTAACCTTATAGATTATATAAAAAATTTATTTCAAACTGTTTTTACCTAAATTAAATATACTAAATATATCAAAATGTTGAAATAATTTTATCTACTTGGATTTAGCACAACAAAAGTAATATAATAATCAATTCACTCAAATCAACTAAAAACAAATAGCAAGAATCTATAAAGAAAACAGACTTTTTCAGTCTATTATTTTTAAGTTATATTTGATTCTAATATTACTTAATACAAACTATTTTTTTTCAACCCCAATACAAAGTCTAGTCTTAGCGGCCACATTACAACAAAGTGTTATCCATAAAGTGAGAATACATTAAAATATAATAGCGGAAAATTTCAAAGCAGACTGTAGCCAAGTCAGCAATTTAAAAATAATAAATAAATAAATAAATAAAAATAATTCCAAGGTAAACTAAAAGTACATTCTTTTATAAATTTTTAGGTAGAAGGACCTGAAATATAAACATAATGTGGGGCTTTTAAAATTATCTTTGGAGAATTACACTATGAAATCTTTGTTGCTAAGGACTCTCACAATCAATCAATCAATCAATAAAAGGCTTTTTGTGATCACAAAATGTTTAAAGTATTCTTAACTTAGGCATTCTCTAAGATTTATTTAACCCAAGGTACTAGTATAACCAAAGTTTAGATAGATATACCTCAGATACACCCACAGTTGTAAAAAATCTTAACATGTTGACATTTATCTTTGTTAAACATAGCTTTTCCAAATACATTTAAACATAAAATCATCTTTTATTTTCATAAAATTTATTCAATAGAGCCTTGTTTGGGATTAAAGATAGCTAAATTCATATATTGTTTGTTACTCCATAATTTTTTTAGGGAAGCAAAGTATCTTTACGTTTCTAACAATAATCAGAATCTATGGCAAATTTGGTGTACTTATCTTTACTTAGAAACGTCTTAACCTCCATTCTAAACTAAATTCAAAAATTACTTCTCCCAGGAAGTGTTTCCAGAAACATGAGGCCTGGTTAAGTTCCCCTCTCATAGGCTTGCATTGGACTTTGTACTTTCTTTTCAGTCCTCCTATTACAATTTGAATCGAACAACAAATTATAGCATTTTGGCATCATTTTTTCTCCTACAGAATGTAAAGAAGCTCCAATTCTGACTTAATCATTGTATCCATAGCACCTAACACAGTTGATAGAATTTGGTAGATCCTCACCAAGGAAGTGTTATTGCGTGAATGAAGATATTGAAGCTCACAGAAGTGATGAGACTATTCAGTATTATAGAACCAGTGAATAAGTTTCAAGTTTAAACAAGAGTTCAAATCTAAAACACAGCCCAGAACTTTTTTCTCTAGACTTACACTGTCTAATATGGTACCATTTGGCACATATGCTACTCAAATTTGAATTTAAATGGGTTAAATTAAATATAATAACATTTTAGAGCATTATTTTACATTTCAAATGCTCAATAATCTCATGTGGCCAGTGGCTACTGTACTGGACAATGCAGAATTTTCCCATCTTTGCAGGAAGTTCTAAAGGCCAATGCTTTGACTCTATAAACAAAGTATAATGTAAAAATAATAAATTAGGCCTCTCATAAAACTTGAATGTTAATTATATTTACTATAATACCTACTTTGGTTTCTTTTAAAGAGAGTTATTATTTTTATTAATCTATAAAAAATTGAATAATATCATTTTAGAAGAAAATAAATTTAATAATCTTAATATATATCTTTAAAATAATGTCAATGTGATAATGTGAAAATGACAATGGGCCTCTAATTTATCTGTGCTGATGACAGACAGTGAGAAATTAGCTTCATTTTGATAGGAAGATTTAATTAAGGAAAATAATTGGACATCGCTTGTGTCTATAAAGCACAATGTAAATTGAGGATCAGGTTAATTTGATCATCATGGACAGGCCAAACAAAGGGAAATAATACAAAACTTGCATTATGACCTCCATTATTAATTTGGGATATGAAAATTGACTCTATTATCTGATTAATACATATAATTATTAAAATTAGTAGAGTTAAAGGCAAGGACATTTGGACAGTAGCAAGTTATATTAGACAAAAATAAAAACTGAGTCCCTGCTTTGACAAAAAAAAGAACACTTTGCTCTCTACATTTAAAAAATAACATTAAAATGTATTGCTTCAAGAAAATATTTCTGAAATGCAAAAAATCATTAAATAAACTTTAGGGAATGATTCAGGGTAAGGAAACAATGACCCATAAATGTCACCAATTTCTATGCTATAAAATTCAGAAGCTTTGCTAGAAGTGCAAACATGTTTGATATTTCAAGACTGAAAACTACTGAGTTTAATAGAGGCAATATAGACATTTTGCCTTTCAAGAAACTAAACATTATTCCAGGAATAAATCTCAGGAAGACCTAAGTCCTGATCCTGCTGAAGGTGTGGTATTCTTGAAATGAGTGGAATTTCCTAGTCTTGTATAAGCACTCAGAAAACCTGAGGCTGCTACCAATTGTGTACATCAAGGAAGTATACAGGCAGGTGGACATTCTCCAAATGTGCTGAGAGCAGAAAGAAGACATAAAAATCCCCCATGAAAAGGTCTGTTATGAGGTTTTTCTAAAGAATCTGATAAGTTCTTAAATATACCCTGAATTAGGCAGTATCATCAGATTGCTTTCAATTGTCTTGAACCTTCTCTTTTTCAATGAACATTTGCTGATGTTCATATAATAGGGAGCTCTTTGAAGACAACTGATTTTTTGCATCCCTTTCCTCTATATATTTACACTTACAATTTTCAACATTGAGACATCATCAAAACAATAATTTTTACTATCCTCATTACTACAACACTGATGAGTGTCAAGTGTCTGCTCAGAAGCTAAAACCCATATCACATACAAGAAAAATTTCAGTCAACTATTTGCCCTTAAGAACATAAGATGTGGTTCTTAACAATAAACTAATCTATTGAGAAGTGTTAGAGGGTATGTAGAGTAGTATGCTATCAAAAATATATGTGGCATGGAACCGAGAGCAACTTAAAATAATTTTGTTCAGATGGTTCAAATAGTAGAAAAAGCTCCATATAGAAAGTGGAAACATATTTGTTCCTTGATGAAAAGTTAATGAGAAACTCGAAGCATAAAGTACAAAATGGTATATGTTTAATCCAGATTTACTAACTGTTGTTGCAAGAAGCTAGAACAAATATTATTCAGAATTAATAATAATAGCCATAATACCTCTAAAACTGGACATTATTACTCTTTGGAACCTCCTCCATCATCCTAGTTGCTTACGGTTGCCATGACAAATTACCACCAACTTGGTACTTAAAACAACACAAATTTATTATCTTGTAGTTCTAGAGAACAGAATTCCAAAATCAGTTTCACTGGAGAAAAACTCAAGGTGTCAGCAGAACCATCCTTGTTCTGGTTGCTCTAGGGTAGAACTGAATGGATTTTCCTGCCTTTTTCTATTTTCTAGAAAGACTGTCCCATTCCTTGGTTCCTGTCCTCATGTCATTCCAACCTTTGAACTGGCCATTCTCACATCACCTTCTCTGACTCTGATCTTCTGCCTCTCTCTTGTTAGAACGCTTATAGTTATATTGGGTCAGCCTGAATAAACCAGGATAATCTCCCCACCTCAAGATCTTTAATCACATCTGCAAAGTTATTTTTGTCACAGAAGATAAAATAGTCACAGGTTACAGGCACGGAAATACGGACATTTTAAGCAAGCCATTAATCAGCCTATGTAAAAGTGCCTAGAAAAATATGTTTTATTTTGGTGGGAACAACTACATATTTGCAAGTCTTGGCAGGCAGAGTACAGGTTGGATTTTGGCTGGTGCTTCACACTTCTGGTCATTTGCTTTTATTTCAGGACAGAAAGAGTACAACTTTCTATATACAGAGGGCCTACTATTCACTATGTGATTGATTTGACAATATCTGCTACCTGCTCTAAAATATATCTGCCAGTGTAAATACTTGTAAATATCTACATGTATATTTGTGAACATCTGTGAATATATTTGTGAATACCTACATGTATATTTCATTATTCCACTTTTGCTTTTACATGTTCTGTTGGGAGGTAACTGATAGCACAAGCCTCACTGGAAAGCTGGTTTTAAAACCAATAGATGGACAATATTTATCTGAAAGTGTGTTCCAGAGGGTAGCTTGCATATCATTGAAGATATTTTTTTTTTGGTATGTCCAAGACATGAAATTGCTAAAGAAGAATGTGGCAATATGCTGGACACTGTGTGCTTGACAATCCATAAAGTTGCTTAAAATATTTTTTATGTTATTCTAATCCTTTAAGTTTTAATTAAGGCCATGGGACAGTTTCACTAACCTAAAACTAGTCAATGGCCTCAGTTTGAAAAACATTTCCATTTTCTAAATCATTCCAACTCAATGACTAGTAGATTAACTCATGTTTTACTTTTCTTCGTTTACTACAAGGATACACATAATTGTTAGTAAACACACAAAAATAGATATATTATTTGTTTTGTTAATATTATTATTTATTTTTTTCAAGACAGTCTTGCTCTGTCGCCCAGGCTGGAGTGCAGTGGAACCGTGTTGGCTCACTGCAACCCCTGCCTCCTGGGTTCAAGAATTCTCATTCCTCAGCCTCTCAAGTAGCTGGGATTAAAGGCGTCTGCCACCATGCCTGGCTATTTTTTGTACTTTTAGTAGAGACAGGGTTTCACCATGTTGACCAGGTTGTTCTCAAACTCCTGACATCTAGTGATCCACCTGCCTTGGCCTCCCAAAGTGCTGGGATTACAAGCATGAGCCATGGAGCGTGGCCCCTTTATTTGTATTCAATGTAACCCAGAATGATAAAGAAAGAAGGATTTAAAGTAATATAACAAAAGAATATCCTATATTTCACAGATAATTTCACAGATTATCCTATGACTGACTAAAAGTCGGGTCTAAATTTTCAGTCTGCGTATAGCTTTGAGAATTACTGTGATATTGGACATAGAAATGTTTGTATTTATAAGCATTAGTATCAAAAACTTTAATTGCTTAGTTTATGGCAGCATAAAGAGGAAACGTAAGAGATCTTTTCTCCTAAGAATATAAAAATGACGAGTAGCTATTTTTAAAAGTATGCTACTAAGTGGCAGAGTCAATAGCTGTATTTAAATGTCATTAAAACCAGGAATGGTGGTGGGAGCCTGTAGTCCCAGCTACTCAAGTGGCTGAGACTGCAGGAATGCCTGTACCCAGGAGTTCAAGAATAGTCTGAACAACACAGTGAGGCCCCGTCTCATTTCCATGCTATGTTTTCCTTTTATGTTTTTACATTTTTGATAGGCAATTTAATTCTATGAGACATAGATCGAACTGAAATCTCAGCAACTTATATTCATGTCACATTGTGACACTAGCTACCTTTGTGATCACCCTGTTTTTTATTCCGTTAATTTTGTTCTGCTAATGCTCATGCATGATCAGCTGATTCATCCACAGGAAAGATAGTTGAGAGGATGATCTGAAGTAGGCAGGAAAGCAAGGGTCTTGAGAATGGAAAAGAAGCCTGGAGTCTTTTCACAGATTATCCTATGACTGACTAAAAATAGTTGAGGGGATTTGGAGAGAAATCAACGTTCCATCCAAGGTTTAAAGAGTACTTCTGGTTCGCAACTTGGGTATATATAACATCATTGAATAATCAGTCTAATCATTTTAAGTTACTTGTGATATAAAAATCACAAACACAATTTGTATATCAATATTGTGTAGATGAGACAACACATTGAATGTTTTTTTCCTCAGTCTGGTAATAGCACAGGTCTTGCCTAGGCCAACTTTATCTCAGGTTCATTCAAGAAGAACAATATTCATCTGGATTCCTGCACTCTGTTGAAGCAATGTTCTTGCTTTCAAAAGCAGATAAGTGACACATTTCTAAGTTAGATAATGCATATCTACAGGAGCCACCTTCTCAATCAAAGTAAGAGTCTAGATAAAGATCATCATCATAGCAGAGTACGTTTTTGTATGTGTGATTTGCTTCCTACTCCTAGACTTTTAATTAAGGCTAACAGCACAAAACCTAAAATTTCACTAGGCCATATATTTAGAAATCATCTTTTGAAGGCCAAGACAGCTTTAGTAATTGGTAGCTGATTTAGCCCAAGGCCCAGAATGTCATATGTAAGATAAGCTCATAGTGACTTGTTAAACCCTTAAACTATCATGAAATTTAAAAGTAGTATATCAATTACGTAAGTGTTGATACTTAGGTAGGTCTTAGGTAACAGCTGTCAATTGGGTGGTATATTGGCAATGTAAGATTTTTAAAACAGCCATGGAGATTTATTAATCCAGTCAATTTCCGTAACATGGATCAGGAAATATGGATTTTGATTCTATGGCTGCATTTAATTTAAAATATATCCTCAGGTTATCAGAATTTATGATACAAACGCATAAAAATAAAACAAACTTATATTCATCCCACTTAGGTTGTATGCATCAATCAATGGTTAGAAAAAAATGCAACCTGATTAAAACAAGTTATGTAGACATTAATTACAAAGTAAGGGGTATAAAATGACTATATTCCAAATTCTTTTTTGGTTCTAAAGGCTTTTTGGTTTTTTCAAATAATAAACAAACTTTTTCTTACAACATATATTGTATGCACACACACATAAAGCATACACATGTGTATATGTATATTTACACATGCATATGTACTTGCACATGTGTTTGCATAATTTTAAAATGCAAATCAGGATTTTGACGCGTACAAGGAAGAAAGAAGGTTTGAATGACTTCAAGAAAATGTAGAAGAGCAACAATAGGATTGAGTGATTATCAATTTTCAAAGCAAATTTAGAGCCATAAGAGGCTAAAATAACAAATGATAACATTGATATTTTTAATTAAAATATCCAGTTAAAATTACACAACTTGAAAAGAAAACATACAATTAAATAAATCCATTTCATCTTAAATGTAGTTCACTTGGAGTGTCACTAAAACACAAACATTACATAATTTTCTGGGTAGTCGTTTGCTGTGAATATACATGCACACACACACACTTTTAGATATGTTATTGCTATATATTTTAAATCTCCTTTGTTACTTCCATGGAGTTAAAACATTAATTCTCATAGGAAAAATGTATTTCAAAGACACTTCTCCCTCTCGTTTGTAGTTGTCTAATTAAGCTAATACTATTCAGGTAAATATTTATTACCTTCATCAAAACTTTATCCTCCTAACTGGGATGAAATGATATGAAAAGGCAACTTGCCATCCTGCTTTGTTCCTAAAGATGCAAAGATCAAAGTCGTTGATGCTGTCACACAGTTTTTTAACAGTTTTTTTTTTTTTTTCCCATAAGTACAACTTCAGAAAAGATGTTTACCTGGTTTGAGGACAGGCTTTAACATTCCAGTTGAGAAACACGACTTGGGTAAAATGGGAATAACCTATATTTTCCAAAGCCCCATTTACTGCAGTTGCTGAACTCAGCGGTATATATTGAGACTTTTAAACAGAAACACATTACTGAAAATAAATTATATGGAGGAATATTTCAGATGATGATTAACCATAAATTAAATAAATTCATATTATTAGTATTTTCTAGTTCCCAATATATTAGTTTTTCCTTCTCATATACTGATTTATACAAATTATTTGTTCCAGTAAAAACGATATTATGCTTCTTGTTTTAGTGCTTATATAATATACCATGTTCTCCAGAAGACATATTTTTCTTTCAAAACAATATATAGAAGTTATATTTTCTAAAATAATAAAATACCATTTTTAAGGCAGTTGAATTTCAATTAGAGAACTTACAGTTTCTATAATAAAATAAATGGATTAACAATTTTTTAAATGTAGACAATGTAAATTAGCTATGGAAAGAGAGTATTTCATGCACACACCCCAAATACTTTGTGAAATTTCTCTTGGAGATATAGCATAGAATGAAACCAATTTATAGGAAACACAAAGAACTGTCTCAAAATTCTCTTTCTTCAGAATGCTGAACCTTGTTGGGAAAATGGATGGATACAGCCCCCACCTCCAAAACTCTAAGATTCCTAAGTAAATGAATGAGAACTAAAAGTGAGGTTGAATCTTGGGGCTTAAGAAACATGAGGAACAAGCAGGACATGAAGAGCACAGTCAAAATACAGTTTTATTTTCCCCTGCCCACCTCCCATATTGCCAAAGTAAACCTGTTTTGTGTATTTCATTCTATCCTGCCCCTTGGATAAAATCAATGGCATGTCACAAGGATTATGCCAGCCGTTTTTCAGTCATTGAAATCTTCGCTTATTTTTGTCAGAAGAAAATTCACTTTAGTTCAGTCTCTCTTCCTAAATAATATACCTAGTCCTGTGTAAAACAAAACAATTTAAGAAAAATAATGTTTTTATCTTGAACCTCCCTTTTATATCCAAATTTCTTTAATCATCTCCAAAGATAGAAAGAGGACTAAAGCTGGAGGAGAGAGAATAAGTGAATGGCAGGAAAGTTTTCCTTTCACTGCCCCTGTCCTGGTGATTCAGCAGGGCACCCTGTGGGCATACTGCTGTTTGAAGCTTGTCCTTTCTCTAAGGTAGCTCTGTGTTACTTCTTCAGAGCTGCATCCTCTGTTCTCACATCACCTGGATAGCTTACCTGCAGTTCCTCTACATAAGCAAATGTGTCCTTCAATAGACAAATCTCTTGCTGTTTATAATTAATATTTAAGCCTCTTGGCATTTCATGGTACACTTCTAGCATCTTTCCACTGATGTCTCTTCGCCTCCCTCAAATGATCCATCTGTATCTCAAGGTTCCCTGAAAAACACTCACTCACTCTTAGTTTTGAGAAATGCTGGACAAACAGGCAACCCCATTCAGGAAACCTCTATTAACTCTGTCAATAGAACAATTACCAGCCCTAATCTCTCAGCCTTTGGATTACTTAAGTTTAACATCTTCACTGTGTCCTTGACATCAGGAGACACATGTCAGTTCTCCAAGCAGTCACACCAAAGCTGCTCTCTCTAGGTTTGATTCGACGGTCATCTGCAGCACTTTCAAAGAGGTTTCCTCTCAATCCCCACACCCCTAACTACTTCAACTTCAAACCCTTTCTAACTTTTAGTAGATGACGTGCCAAGTTTCCAAGCCAGTATTTAACCAATACACATGCTAGTCTTTTTGGGTGGTTATATTTTAAAATGTGGGGATAATTGTTTTACATTCTGTTCAACAACAACAACAACAAAATGAGACTGAAAATCTTCCACCTGAAAAATCTCTTTTGTATTAGGCTATCTTCATAAAGCTCGGATAGAAGTTTAATAAGCTAATAGATTTTAATGGAAAGATTTTTTTCTGACACAGTCAAGATCTTTTTTGATGCATGAAACCTAGAATCTAGAAGGAACCCAGAAAGAATCAAATATTGCACCTGGAATGTAGGTAAGCAAAAACAGAAAACAAATTATTGGGCTTACTGAATATTGCTATAATTGTCCAATCGATTTATTTCTTCAGATTATATATTTTTCAAAGCTTTTTGTACTCAAGTTATGACCATCTACAACATTTCCATAATATATTGATATTTCAAGTCTGAAAATATTTTTTCAAATTGTAAACATTAAATATGAAAGTTTTATAATGTAACTTTTTATGTTAACCCAGAATGAGATATGAATAGTCAATGAATCAAAATAGCCAATGTCTATTTGTTGCAGCTACTCCTAAGATGAGATACATATTCTCTTCTCCCCAATAGTGAGTGTGTTCCCTGTATATAACACTAACAGCAAACTTAAATACTGGATATTCCTTCCTTGCATTAGCATACTAAGTATATTTACCATCATGTGCTTTTTCACTACAAATAGGAATACTTGTTTCCTTAGATTGCTGAACATCACAAACATGAGAAAAGATGAGTCATTCTTCTTGTATAAGGGCTATAATTCCAATAGATTTGCCTATTAAGTTTCTCATGTATTAGCATTTTTTTATTCATAGACTACTTCATTGTATTCAATTTGCACCAGATATCTTTTATTACATTATTCTTCTTTTTCTTCTTCTTCTTATTTCTTACAAGGTTATTGGATGACTTTTATCAATAGGCACACATTGACAGAGAGATCTAAACAATAATCATAAACAGTTAACTTTTTCAGTCTTTCAGTAACAGATCAAAGTTTATTAGTTACAAATAAAAATATTAACAAGCCTAATGCATTGCTAATGTCATCTCATTTTAAAAATCTTGAATTGATATAAAAAATTCTGATGTATTTAATCAGTGGAGACAGTAACACAGGAAGGAAACTATTTTTGTATTAAATAATACATGCTTGGATTAAATCACATGTGTATAAAGAAAGTCTAAAATTATGAGCTAGTAACTAGATATGCAATTGATCTTAAACTATTTTTTAAATTTGGCTTCATTAATCATAACACAAATCTTTCAAGGTACTCTTTATGAGTAGTTAGCCAGTGAAAACTATTGCTAGCTTCTCAATTTCCCATGTTGTAGTTTCCAACTCTGGAATAAAAGTAAAACAAAATAAAGCAACACAACCACAACATATCTGGAAAACAAGTTTAGTGCAGTTTACAATGTAAGTAAAATAAATCTATTTTATTTAAAATAGTATTAGGCTGAGCATGGTGGCTCATGCCTGTAATACCAGCACTTTGGGGGGCCAAAGCGGGAGTATCACTTGAGCCAGGAATTCAAGACCAACCTGGGCAACATGATGAGGCCTCCTTTCTACAAGAAATTAAAAAAAAAAAAAAAAAAAAGCCAGGCATGGGGAGATATACCTGTAAACCCAGCTACTCAGGAGGCCAGAAGTGAGAGGATTGCTTGAGCCCAAGAGGCGAAGGTTGCAGTGAGCTATGATCACATCATACCACTGCACTCCAGCCTGGGCAACAGAGTAAGACCCTGTGTCAAAAAAAAAAAAAAATTATATGTGTGTGTGTATGTATTAAAGAATAAGAAATTAAGCATTACAAAAGTTTAAAAACATTTTTTAAGTAATAGATTAAAGTTCAAATTAAATTATTATATTAATTCTGTGGGTTTTCTTAATATATCTTCAAGTTTTAACATCACTCGATGCAAAAAAAAAATATGCCAGTGAATGAGTCCAATTTCCTCTGTTCCTTTTCCTCCCAATAAAGCCTGCCCTTACACCCACAAACATAAAACTATAATGAGATTCAAATTTCTTAAAAAGGCATTCAACAGACAAAAAGTTGAGTAGAAAACAGATCAAAGTATCATTATCTGGTGAATTATTGTGATACAGTGAAGTAATTTAAATAATTCAGAAAAATAATAAGAGGATTTCATTATCTGTTTGCCTAAATTCCCTGAATGCTTACACTAACTTTAAATCTCCTTTTGACTATAAAGTTCCAGATATGGTAGAATGAGGTGGCACTGATAAGTTTATAGTTAAAGAGCAGTTATAAGAAAAAAGTTTTCAAATTAAGATTTTAATTTTTTTGTAAAAGTAAAAGAAAACAGTCTTATCCTGGATACAAAGAGTATATATTTCCTACTATTTTTTTCTAGATACTTCTTCTGGTATTAATAACATATGTAAGGATTTGGAGTTTCTTTTGCTACTGGGCAACAATAACTGAAATAATGTATAGAAAAATGCTTTATGATTATTATTTTTTCAAGAAATGTCAATAAAAACTAAGTGCAATTATGTTAGTGTCACAACAAGAATCCTTATCCACCTTAAATGTCTTCATATAATAATAAAAAGCACAAAACAAAAAGCAAACTTTAAAAAGAACCAATAAAGAGGAAAGGGAACAAAGACCTTCAGTTTATCTCATATATATATATATATAATGCCTTGAATACATTAATTGCTTTGTTAATTTTTTTGTTCAGCTGTTATGAGATGAACCTTTTACTGGTACTGCGTATTTTGTACTGAAATCCAACATAAGGCTTGATAAGAAATAAGTAGTAATGACAGAACGAACAACAGTTTCCAACACCCTTGAGCACAATTGCACACCATTTTCATATACAAGTTAAAGAAATCTGAAACTCCTTGTTTTGATGCAATGTGAGTGTCTCTTTACAGGAAGCACAACACACCATTTCTCCTTTCATTTCTCACCCCATTAACTCCCTTGACAAAAGATGTATGCAGATCCTGGGAGAATTCATTCTTTTCTCTGAATGTTTCAGATATGTTGAGCTGAAAGAGTGGGAGTGCCATATCCATTTTATTTAGATAAAAAGTATTTTTCAAAAATAATATTTTTCTTAGATGTCTACAGACTCCTTACATAAAATTTTACAGAGTGTTTCTTCCCAACGCTACTTTCAACTCTGAAACTAAAGATGCATAGTCAGAAGATAACTTTGAAAATGATGTGATTTGTTATATTCAAATGAGACAATCTGAAAATTGATTGTAATTAAATTTGTACTTGACCTTATCATCCACATTAATTCAGAAATATCAGAACGGTTAAATAGAAAGAGCACTTATTTTATATCTGTTATATGGACTTGCTCTTTTTTATATGCAGTAGACAATATGGAATATAAATTACTTCTGCATAATGGAAAATATTGACAGCATCATACTGGAGAAGAGGTAATGCTACCTGAAAACCCCAACACATTCATTTGCATTTATTGATATGGACAATGTTGCAGTATTATTTTATTGCCAACCTCTCCTTTTCTTCCTCATAGTGATTTCATGTATGTATTTTTTAAATGTCTACAAAACTGCCTGATTATAAAACAATAAAATTACAATACTAATTCCCTTAAAAATACAATAGATTAAACACTCTTAGCAACTTTCCCTTTAATTACAGAAGACAGTCTGTGGTATTTAACAATTATTATTTCTATGACTTCTGAAATCTCTTCTCTTGAAAACTGCATTAATCTATATTATAGCTCATTGAAATAAGTGAATAACAACTTTGTAAGCGAAACCTGCATTATGTTTTAGCCCTTCCAAGCTGAGTGACCTTCAGAGTTAGTGGCTACATGATATGTAGCATGTTCTTGCCATACATCAAGTATTTGATTTATATTTTATATCCCCACGTCAATAAACACCTACAAGCTAAAAAAATTGCCATGATCAAAAGAGAAATATGGATCCACCTCCTTTCTTCTAAAGTCTGTTTATTAAAAGTCTTCTCAATCTTGAAAAAGGACCTCCCCCTTTATCCAGTTGCTGAAGCCAGAAATATGACATTTTTATTTATTCATCTTTTATCATTCATATTGATTTATTTTAGTATATTTTCCAACCCCAAATTTAATATCATAGTCTCACTGTATCAATGTTTCCCTCTTTCTTAGTACTGCTATAATCTTGCACTTGGACTACTACAATAATTTTTAAATTTGTTATGTTACCTAAATCCTTTCCCCTTATTGCCCAGCAGAACAAATAATTCTTTAGTATTTTAAAACATACATTCAATGTTGTCTTTCCTCTGCTTCAAATTATCTAATGGTTTTTATCCTATTTCAAATAAAATCCAATCCAGCCCTGGCTAAGAAAGCTCATTTGATCAGTCTTGGAACCTAAAGATCTGCTTACCACAAGTAGAGTTCCCTGCCAAAATTCTCCTGTCTCCAGGTTTCTAGACCCACCTAATAAGCCACTTTTTTTTTTTTTTTTTTTCCTAAGGAGCTTCCTTAGGAACTAGATTATCTTTCTCAGACTGGAATGCTCTTTGCCTAAGCTTAACATGCCTGTTTCATTTTGGTCTTTTAGATCTCAGATCCAAGTCACATTCTCAAAGCATTTAACTCTCATTCTCCCTTGAAGTAACTACCTAGTGATTCTCTGTTACATTGCTCTATTTTCATTCTATGCATTGCACTTACTACTATATTAGGTTTCTTGTGAAATATCCATTTGTGTGTCATGAGAACAGGGACATGATCATGTTCACTCCTTCATTCCCAGTGTTTAGAACAGCACTTGGTGTATGGTGGATGTCTAATATATAGAGAGTAAGTGATCAAATGAATGAATGATAAATGATTTAATAAAATTTAAATTTTAAGTTCTATCTAATTAAAACAAGCACATTAAATTTATTTTGAATCAATAAATATCTGCCCAGTTATTTAAAATAAATCTTTAATATTACTATGACCAACCAAGATTCATCCCAGCAATGCGAGGATGGTTCACTATATGCAAATCAATACACATGATCTAGCACCTCAATAGAATCAAGAACAAAAACCATAAAATCATTTCAATAGATGTGGAAAAAGCATTTAGTAAACTTCAACATCAATAAAAGCCCTCAATAAATTAGGTATAGAAGGAATGTACCTCAACATAATAAAGGCCACATATGACAAAACCATAGTTATCATCATACTGAGTGAGGAAAAGTTGAACGTTTTTCTATAAGATCTGGAATGAGACAAGGATGTCTACTTTCAACATTTCCATTCAACATTGTACTGGAAGTCCTAGCCAGAGTAATTAGGCAAGAGAATGAAATAAAGAAGTTCCACATTGGAAAGGAGAAAGTAAAATTGTCCCTGTTGGCAGATGGCATTATCTTGTATATATAAAACCCTAAAGACTCCACCAATGAAGTAGTGTAGACTCCACTAATAGAATTGTTATGACTTTGGTAAACTTGCAGGACACAACATCAACATATAAAAATCAATAGAATTTTTGAATATTACCAGTGAACTATCTGAACAAGTAATCAAGAAAACAATCTCACTTACAATATCTACACAAAAAATTACCTAAGAATGCATTTAACCAATGAGGTGAAATATCGCTATAATGAAAATGATAAGACATTGAAAAAATAAATTGAAAAGGACACAAATAAATGAAAATATCTTCCAAGTTTATAAACTGGAAGAATTAATATTGTTAAAATATCCATACTATCCAAAGTGACATAGAGGTTCAACACAATTCCTATTAAAATGTTAATAAAATTCTTCACAAAATAGAAAAATATCCAAAAATTTCTATGGAACCACAAAATATCACAAGGAACCAAAACAACCTTGAGAAAAAAGAGCAAAGCTGGAGGCATTTCACTACCTGACTTCAAAATGTACTACAAAGCTATAGTAATCAAAACAGCATAATCCTAGCATAAACACAGACACATAGACCAATGGAACAGAATAAAGAACTTGGAAATATATTTACACATTTACAGTCAAATGATTTTTGACAAAGTTTCCAGGAACACACAATGGGGACACAACAGTCTCTTCAATAAATGGTTCTGAGAAAATTTTTTATCCACATGCGGAAGAATGAAACTAGATCTCTGTTTCTCACCATATACAAAATTCAACTCAAAATTGATTACATATTTAAATTTAAGATCCAAAACTGTGAAACTGCTAGAAGAAAACATGGGAGAAATTCTTCATGGCATGGGACTGGGTAAGGGTTTTTTTAGACAGGAACTCAAAAACACCAGCAACTGAAGCAAAAATAGGCAAATGGGATTATATCAAACTAAAAACCTTCTGCACAACAGAGGAAACAATCAACAGAGCAAAGATACAACCTATGGAATGGGAGAAAAAATATTTGCAAACTAGACAACTGACAAGAAGTTAACCTAGAGAATATATATAAGAAACTCAAACAACCTAAGAGCAAAAAAAAAAAAAAAAAAAAAAAATGAGTTAAAAGTGGACCAAAGCCCTTAATATATATATTTTAAAAGAGGCATAAAAATAGCCAAAAGGTATGTGAAAATATGTTCAACATCATTATTAATCACAGAAATGCAATTCAAGGCCACAATGAAGTATCACCTCACTGCAGTTAAAATGGCTATTATCAAAAAAAGAAAAAATAACAAATGCTGGCAAAGATGTGAAAGGGGGAAACTTTCATACACTGTTGATGGGAATGTAAATTAGTACAGCCACTATCAAAACCAGTATGGAGGTTTCTTAAAAAGCTAAAAATAAAATTACCATATGATCCCACAATTTCACTCCTGGGTATTTTTACAAAGGAAATGAGACCAGTATGTCAAAGAAATGTTTGTAGTCCTGTATTTATTGCAGCATTCTTCACAATAACCAAAAAATGAGATCAACCTAAGTGTTCACCAGTGGATAAAGGTATGAAAACATGTTGTATGTATACGCACAATGGAATGCTATTCAGCTATAAAATAGAATGAAATTCTATTGTTTGTGTCAACATAGATGAATGTAGAGGACATTATATTAAGTGAAATAAGACAAGCACAGAATGACAAATACCACATGACCTCATTTGTAAAATCTGTAAAATGATGATCCCATAGAAGTAGAGCATTAAATAGTGGTTACCAGAGGCAGGGGTAGAGAGGTAGGCTTATGAGAGAGGTTGGTTAATAGGTACAAAGTTACACTTCGCTAGGAGGAATAGATCCTGGTGTTCTGTTGCATAGTAGGGTGGCTATAGTGAAAAATAATTTACTGCATATTTCAAAATAGCAAGAAGAGTGGATTTTGAGTGCTCTCACTGCAAAGAATTGATAACTATCTGAGGTGATAGATATGCTAATTATTCTGATTTGATCATTACACGATGTATACATGTATATATATTTTTCCTTTGTAATTTTGTACCAAAATTATTACTAAGTAATCGATTATTTTAATATTTATATGATTTATTTGAAATTAGTTATTACAGTTTTCATTAATCCATGAAAATTTGGTATTTTCTATTATGTTGTTAACCAAAACATGGAAGATATCTATTATTTTGAATATGAGATATAATAAGTAAAAAATGGAGCAATACCACTTTTTAGAAAACCTTAAATGCATATTCAATGTAAACAAAATACAGTTATTAACATATAATTTATTCTCTGAATTTTCCTTCTCTCTCATTAAACTTACTGTCCATGGGGAAGGGGGAGAAGATTTGAATTTGCCTTTATTTTTGTCATTAGAAATCAAAAATCTTCATTAGCTTTCTAGTTCAATTTGCATTTTAAAATGAAACATAATTTCTACATTAAACTAACAATTAGTCTTTCGTATATCATAGAAAGATAAAACTTAAATTTTACTGAATGTAAGACTACTCTGTGATTATTTTAAAAGTGTCACTTAAAATCTTGCAATACTTATGAGATCCCTACACAAAGAGAAGAAACAGTCTGTGGGAAAACCCTTACTTGGTATGTTTGTTTTCTCAGGCTGCTGTATCAAGACACCATAAACTGGGTGGCTTAAATAACAGATTTTTCTTTTTTTTTGAGATGGAGTCTCATTCTGTCGGCCAGACTGGAGCACAGTGGTGTTCTCTCAGCTCACTGCAACCTCCACCTCCCAGGTTCAAACGATTCTCATGCCTCAGCCTCCTGAGCAGCTGGATTACAGGTGTGTGCTACCACACCCAGCTAATTTTCTTGTATTTTTAGTAGGTACGGGGTTTCACCATGTTGGCCAGGCTAGTCTCGAACTCCTGTCCTTAAATGATCCACCTAATCTAGCCTCCCAAAGTGATTGGATTACAGGCCTGAGCCACTGTGCCCAGCCTCTCTTCTTTTCCTATTAAGGGCTCTCATTCCTAAAATGGGTCCCAACCTGGGACCTAATGTAACCTTAATCACCTTTCAAAAACTCCACCTCCAAATACCATTACTCCGGGGTCTATGGCTTCAACATATGAATCTGGAAGGAACACAAACATTCAGATGATAACAATGTGGGAAGATGCTTGGCAGGTTCAAAGAGCTCATTAGAAGCCATGTGAAGGAATGAAGAAGTAGAAGAAAATGATACCTGAGAGGTAAACAGAGTGAGGATATGGAAACTTTTGTAGATTTTGTTTACAATATAATGAGAAGTTTGGGAAATATAAATAAAATTCTGATGTATCTTTTTAAAAGCTTATGTTGGCTGTGAATGAAACATTATTGGCAGAGGGCAAAATTAGAAACAGAAAGTCTAGTAATATCGTCATTGCTGTTGTCCCAGCTGAAATTTGAAGGAGGCTTTTACTAACATGGTACTAGCTAAAGTGGTGGGGAAAAATTATTAACATTTACAGTCTTTGATAAAAATAAAACATCTGGATAACTGGAGAAATCAATAGATAAATTTTGAAATGATAGCCTTTAGATATTTGTAAACAAGTGATGTTTAAAAATGAGGTCCTTGGATCATCAGCATTACCCGGGAAGGAAAGTTGTTAGAAATGAATATTCTCAGATCCAATACCAGAACTACTGAATCAGAAGTTCTGAGGGATGAAGTCAGCAATTTGATTTTAAACAGACACTCTAGGTGATTTTGACAAAAGCTCATTTGAGAACCATGATGTAAACCATACGCATGAAAATGTCAATTACAGAAATCCATAAATATGGGTTTATGGATTTCACAGCAGAAGTTTGAGACAGAGATATAAATCTGGAAGTGATCAGCACATAGATAGCACTTACAACCATGGGAATGGTTGAAATCACATACACTAAGTGGGACCAAAGAGAAATGCCACAACTGAGGCCAACATTTCATTTTTGGTAGTTTGTAAACAACACTTTAAAAGGAGCATCTACAGAGACAGGAAGAAAGCTAGGGATGTGAGATACCATGGACACCAAGTGAAGAAAGAGATTTTAAAAGGAGTAAATGATAAGCAATGTCCAATAAAGCTAAGAAATTCAGCACACCTTAAACAGTGGTGGGTTGATTGATGTTCAACATCTGGCTCTCTGAGGAAAAGCAAAATCAGATTAGTAAAGTTTTTCCATTTCTGTGCTGCTAAATACTCCCGACATGCTTAATTTCAAGCCAGTGAATAGTGAGCAAATTTGGCAAGAGACACACAATAGCACGCCATTATTCATTTCTGCCATGTGGATATTATATATATATATATATATATATATATAAAACGATCTCAAAAAGACAGGTAAGAGAAAAATGTAATGAAATAATTAGAAGCAAATGAGTTTTGAGTATTCATTACAATGCTTTTTTTAAATGTTTTGTCTATATATATGTGTGTGTGTGTGTGTGTGTGTGTGTGTAATCAACTCTTAATAAAGTCTGTGTTTAACAATAACCTCGCAGAATTTCTGGGAATTAAATAATCAGCTCTCATGTGTCAGTGTGTATTGACTCCTGTACACTATTGCTAACAAATCTAAGATTTCAAACGTTTTCCAGGTCCTGGGAACTTCACATGCTGATACTCTTAGTATATTAAACACATATTTAACAGTTTTAGATATTCTACTACATTTAAGCTGTCCGCTAAAGGAAATTATGATGTATTATGTGATCTATATCTTAAACAGCACAGAACAAAAGATTTAACACGTGCCCAATCAAACTATTGATTTGTAAGTACATCCATGACCTACTCTTCTAAATCTGAAAGTCTTTGAATGGAAAAAAAAAAATCTGTAGGCTTGGAAACCTGTGAAGGCTAAATCATATTATAATGATATTCATAATATAAATAAATTAGCTCATGCAAGTTTCAGTTTTGACATAATTTATGCAAAATTTGACACACTTTTCTCTAGCTTAAGATATGTGTCACCTAGCAGTACAGGATCTCTGCATGGTTGACTTTTGCTGGACTTAACAGGGTACAAAGACAATTGTGGAGCTCACAACAAAAGATCAAAAAGATGCACAACAGTTTTGAGTGTGCTTGGAGTTCCATTCTGGCTGAATCTGAACTGAATTATTCATGGTTTTTTTTTTAAGTGCAGTAAAAGTGATTTTTTTCTTAAAAAAAAGAAAATCAAGGTTAATTTATCTCCTGAAAATACTGAGTCCTTTTCCTGACATGAAAGCAATCAAGCTTTCAGAGTTCAGACACTGATCTTTATGCTGAAACATGAGTCTGAGTGGAATTCAGATAAAGCTGAGCCATTTTTATTTGCCAAACAAGTGCCCCAATAATTGCCAGGGGAAACATTCCAAAGGTTTCATGACTGTTTTAGATTCTTAGGGCTGCTGTGACAAAATACTACAAACTGGGTGGATCACAACAAGAGAACTGTATTGCCTCACAGTTCTGGAAGGTAGAAGTCTGAAATCAAGGTGTCAGGTGGGCCATGCTCCCTCTGAAGTTGGTTGGAGAGAATCCTTCCTTGCCTCTTCTTTCTTCTCCTTCTCCTTTTCCTTCTCCTTCTCCTTCTTCCTCTTCCTCTTCCTCTTCTTCTTCATTTTTTTTTTTTGAGATGGAGTCTCTCTCTGTGGCCCAGGCTGGAGTGCAGTGGTGCAATCTCAGCTCATTGCAGCCTCCACCTCCCAAGTTCCAGCAATTCTCCTGCCTCATCCTCCTGGGTAGCTTGGATTACAGGCACCTGCTAACATGCCCAACTAATTTTTTTTTTGAGACAGAGTCTTGCTCTGTCACCCAGGCTGGAGTGCAGTGGTGCGATCTTGGCTCATTGCAGCCTCCACCTCCCAAGTTCCAGCAATTCTCCTGCCTCAGCCTCCTGGGTAGCTTGGATTACAGGCACCTGCTAACATGCCCAACTAATTTTTTTATTTTTTTTTGAGACAGAGTCTTGCTCTGTCACCCAGGCTGGAGTGCAGTGGTGCGATCTCAGCTCACTGCAACCTCCGCCTCCTGGGTTCAAGCAATTCTCCTGCCTCAGTCTCCCGAGTAGCTGGGATTACAGGTGCCCGCCACCATGCCCAGCTAATTTTTGTAATTTTAGTAAAGACGGGGTTTCACCACCTTGGCCAGGCTGGTCTCGAACTCCTGACCTCATGATCCACCCGCCTCGGCCTCCCAAAGTGCTGGGATTACAGGCATCAGCCACCGTGCCCGGCCCTAATTTTTGTATTTTTAGTAGAGATGGGGTTTCACCATATTGGCCAGTCTGGTCTCGAACTGCTGACCTTAAATCATCCACCCGCCTTGCCCTCCCAAAGTGCTAGGATTACAGGCATAAGCCACCACGCCGGGGCTCCTTGACTCTTCTTAGTGTCTGGTGGTTTGCCTGCAATTCTTGCTGCTCCTTGGTTGGTAGATGCATAACTCCAATTTCTGTCTCTGTTGTCACATGACCACCTTATTTTTGCATATCTCTGTCCTCTCCTCTTCCTAGGAAGATACTAGCAATATTGGATTAGATCCCATCCTAAAAAAACTCATCTTAACTTGATTCCATCTGCAAACACCCTATTTCCCAATAAGGCCATATTCATAGGTACCAGAGCTTCGGATTTCAACATTTCTTTTTTGGAGACACAGTTCAACCCAGAAACCAGAACCTACCAAGTACAACACATTCTGGCTCTAGAGAAAGAAAAAATACTTCTTTGAATGTACCATACATTTTAGCTGAAAGGCCAACAATTGGGGATTTCATTATGACACAATTTCTATTACATTATTTAATAGATCTGAGCCTTGAAAAGAGTAACATCACAAAATTGATATGCTTTCCAAATTTAATATTTAGCATATCTTTTTAGATATTTTAATGTTGCATATTTGTTTACAATATTTCAATAACACTCTATGAACTCAAATTACAATCACTAGAGGTATATTAAATGTGAGACTCAAAAGAGTTTCTTTCAGCTGTTTCTTTTACTCGATTTCAGCTATAGTTAATCATGCTTTGTGTTTATTTCAACTTAGAAAACTAAATGGCAGAAAACAATACTGGTTTGGGGTTTTGTTTTGGGTTTTTTCTTTTTTTTTGGCCTATTAAAACCTCTTTTTCACACATCTTGAATAAGTATATCCATTTAATAGCACTATAAAAATGTTGGTGTGGCTGTAACGAGATCATTAACTTTATTGCTATAATCACTGTACGAGGTTAAACTGTACCCTCAGCAAGAAAATTAGTGTCCAACTGTTCCAGGTGTCTCTCTAAGAATTTTCTCAATACAACATGTACTCTGTTGTAATTGAAAAATTAATTATCTACCACTCATGTTTTAGTTTTTCATCTTAAAAAGACATTGTATCACATCAAGTTCCAACTTTTATTTGTTTGCTTTTCTGAATTTCTATATTAAAATTTATATTATGAATATTTAAATGAGTATAAGTACCACTCCTATAATATTTTATTCTTATTTTAATACCAAAATTAAGATTGCAGTTATTATGTACCATCAATTTTATACAATCAATAAAAATTAATGTATTGCAACATTAAAATTTTTGTTTAGCTATCTTATTTTAATCAAATAATAAACAAAAAATGCAATAATATATCATCCAGGCAAATTTACTGTGTGAGACAAGAGTATGTCAAAGAAATGTAAAGATTAGGAGCTCTTAGTGAAGTTAGTTCATATTTTTTGAAGGAGTGAATAAAACTCATGTGGCTGTGATAATTATAGAAACACACTGACTTTGCCATAGCAGTATATATAGAGAAAACCATAATCCATAAGCCATAGAGCACAATAAAAATAATAAGAAAATAATTGCAAGTAATGAATTTTGAAAACTGAAATTGGCTGGGTGCAGTGGCTCACGCTTGTAATCCCAGCACTTTGAGGCGGGTGGATCATGAGGTCAGGAGATCAAGACCATCCTGGTTAATACGGTGAAACCCCGTCTCTATTAAAAACACAAAAAATTAGCCGGGCATGGTGGCACACACCTGTAGTCCCAGCTACTTGGGAGGCTGAGGCAGAAGAATCGCTTGAACCCAGGAGGCACGGAGGTTGCAGTGAGCCGAGATCACACCACTGTACTCCAACCGGGGCAACAGAGTGAGGCTTCATCTCAAAAATAAATAAATAAATAAATAAGAAATCACTATCTAATTCATAAAATGAGCCAAATATTCTAAATTAATAAGTGAATGGCTGCCCAAATAAGTAAATGAAAAATTAGAGAAAGCAAGTGCAGGTAATATGCAAAACTAGAAAATATAAGCAGCTAGAAATATTAAGTTTAAAATATCAAACTTTTAAGAATGACATTAAAAAATGTAAAGATTCTTTCTGGGTTTTGTTTTACTTTTACCTGTAATATAATTTATTTTTTTCAAGTAAACAATATGATTTTACTATGTGTCGTCATTATGCTGTACATTACAGTCCCAGACTTATTCATCTTACAAATGCCTGTTTATACCCTGTGACAAACATCTCATTTCCCACATCTTTCATGCCTTGGCAACCACTGTTTGGCTCTCTGCTCTTACGAACAAAGAAGCAGAAAAATAAATAAAAAGCATGTTTCTGTTTTCTCGGAAAGGCAAATACAGACAAAAATTGTGGTGTAATATTATTTTCAGTCTTGTTAATCCAAACTTTGGAGGTGTGGCTCAAAAATTACTCATTATTTAATAACTGCAAATAAAAACGAAAGTGGGATCTAACCTTTTCACTTATAGCAGAGATGTTTAAGAAGTTCCATAATGTCCAGTAATATCAAGAGTCTGGGAAATGCAAATGTTATAATCTTTTGGTCACTGTTTAAATAAATTATGCAACTTTTCTAGAGAACAGTTGATGATATCTAGCAATTTTTTTTTTTTTTTTTTTTTTTTTAGACGATGTCTTCCTCTTGTCCCCCAGGATGGAGCGTGATGGCACGATCTCGGCTCACTGCAACCTCTGCCTCCCAGTTTCAAGTGATTCTCCTGCCTTGATCCCCCGAGTAGCTGGGATTACAGGCGCCTGCCACCACACCTGGCTAGTATTTGTATTTTTAGTAGATATGGGGTTTCACCATGTTGGTCAGCCTGGTCTCAAATTCCTGACCCCAGGTGATCCACCTGCCTCGGCCTCCCAAAGTGCTGGGATTACAGGTGTGAGCCACCGCGCCAGGCCAATGTCTAGCTTTTTTTTTTTTTTTTTTTTTTTGAGACAGTCTTGCTGGGTCACCCAGGCTGGAGTGAGGTGGCACGATCTCGGCTCACTGCAACCTCCCGGGTTCAAGCGATTCTCCTGCCTCAGCGTCCCGAGTAGCTGGGACTACAGGTGCGTGCCACCACACCTGGCTAATTTTTGTATTTTTAGTAGAGACGAGGTTTCACCATGCTGGCCAGGGTGGTCTCGAACTCCTGACCTCAAGTCATTCACCTGCTTTGACCTCCCAGCTGGGATTGCAGGCCTGAGGCACCGTACCTGGCCAATATCTAGCAATATTGTAATTGCTCTATTTTTGACCTAGTGATCATAAGAAGTGAGTAGAGAATAATCATTTTACTACTGTTAAAAAAAAATGAACATGTATTCAAGTGAAGTCAACCAATTAAACACATTATGAGTTATCTATAGTTAAAAAAAAGCAAAAAAAAAAAACCTGCATTCATTAAATAAAGGAAGTAAATATCTAAGGGCTAAAAAAATATTTTCCAAGACATATTAGTGAACACAGTAAGGTACAGAATAATGTGTATATGAATAATATGGTTGCCTTTGTAAAAAAAATTTATAAATTCAATATATAAATGACACATAGAAAACTTTGAGGAGGAGCTGGGTGAGAGTCCATATTTTACTTCATTTACTTTGCCTCCAATTATTTATTATATTTTGATTTTCATATTATTTATTTATATATTTACTTCAATTGTGGTCTCCTGGGAGATAATTTTCATGTTTTTTTTTCATTTTTGTCATTATACTTCTCCATTTCTATAGAATTTATTAAATGTTATATGAGCATATGAATAGTACAAGAAAGAGTGAGGAAAAGGTATTCAATCAATATTGCTGAAATTTTTTAATGATTGGGAAAAATCAGTTCAAAACCTTACCTAATTGTACAAATTACCTCATATTATGCATTTATTAATTCCAGATGGAGCAAAGTACCCTTTAAAACAAGCTGAAATATACTATAAGATACATCTATCAAACACTAAAAGAATGATAATTTATGAATCTTAGAGGTCTAACAGAAATTATAACAACAAACTATCCACACTAGAATAAAGAATTTCTTAGAGATCTTACAAGGAAACTCCCCAGCAATAAGTCTGACAAATAATATATCAAGAACACCAAAAATATACAGCTTAGTTAAAGGCAAAAATCAGATACCCCTTGCCAGAAACAAGGAGGGAATTAAAGCCATATATATGATAGAAATGTGAGGGTCAGGAGAAAGTAGTTAAAACCAGGGATAGTTACACATAATCAGAGCCTATTGAATGTGCCTGTGAAATGCTGGGATATAAGGCTAGACCCCACCTTTTAGAGGGCTGTTGGACATGGGCTTCCTGCAACAAAGCCTGAGTTAAGAGGAGAGTTTCCATTTTTGAAACAGCAACTAAAAAACTACCATTTGACTCAGGTAGTCGGATCAAACTAACTACCTGGGTGGCATCGTGGCAGGCTGCCTACTGTGGTCCCTGGGTGGAAAAATAGTCACTGAAGAAAAATCAGATGCCACCCACACCTGTGAAGATCTGGGTCTCTGGAGACAGTAACATGAAAATTGAAGTAGAACAAATATAATTCCTTGAGCCCTGACAGAATTAAAAACAAATTCTGCCCATGGGAATGTTTACAAACTTGTGGTAGCTGCAAAACTTTTAGAGAAGCCAGCACACACTGAAATTAAATAAACCTCTAGTGAAAGTCAGAAAAAAGTATGTGAGAAAAAATAACAACAATAAGGTGTCCACTAAAGCAGAAAGGAACTCAACTCATTGCATATAAACACTGTTAATTTAGTTAATTAGACAATTAGCAAGGAGTTTTAAAAATCATGACTAAAATCCATGATGAAAAATTTGTTTCATTAAAGATTCCAAGAGAACAAAATATCATTAAATGAAGAAACAACATTAAGGAGAAAACACCTATGGTTCCAGTAAATGAACAGGCAGAGACCACGAATTAATAAATTACAAAAAAGTTAAAGTGCTATTAGGAACATATAATCAAGAAAGTATCCAAACTAAAAGGGACAAATGATACATGAGATAAAATAATGAGTAATTCTTTTTACACAAATCTAATTAGCAAAATATATTAACCAACACTGTCAACAATTAGCTGTAAATGAATACTCTCACAATTACATTTGTGTGTGTGTAAAATGCCACAATGCTTCTGAATAGGATTTTTTTGACAACGTACATATGAAACAATCAATGATTTATTTCTTAATTCATTTTCTAAAAGCCTACTCAATGAAATGTGAATGCTAAGTATCCTGTAAATTTAAATATAGTCATAGTTTTACCATGTATAAAAATGTTTTATAATATGGGAACAAGATATGTAAACAAAATTACACATATTCAGTGGATTATTGCCTGGATTCAAAAAACACTGTATACAGAAAACACATAAAAATGTCTAGTACTAGCCAAATTCCTCATGAATAATTGTTCACTTGTTGAATAAATTAACAAATAAAAGAGTAAATCTATAAAATTAAATGAGGTATAAAGTTGGGGTCGGAAATGTAGGAAGGTTGTAATACCCTCTCATCTAAAGTAAAAATAAGAATATTTAACGTTTTTAAACTGAAGTCTTTTAATTATAAATCTATTAATTAAAGTATTCATTAATTTATGAAGTTAATTTAGTAAACACAGAAAATGTTATTTATCCCCTTTATTGTTAAATGATTTCAAAGTAGATATTATTTTATAATAATCAAAAGGGCAGATAATTTTTAAAAACCCTATTCAGAATGCTTACCCTTTAGAAAAATAATCATATTTACTAATATCCCCTACATATTAGATTCTTCTTTTAGTCTGTAACTTTCTTCAATGGTTATGTTATAAGATTCCATACCATTTGATATGGTTTGGTTGTATTCCCACCCAAATCTCATCTTGAATTGTAACTCCCAGAGTTCCCATGTGTCTTGGGAGGAACCCCATGGGAGGTGATTCAATCACAGGGACGGGTCTTTCCTGTGCTATTCTTGTGATAGCATATGAGTCTCACAAGATCTGATGATTTTTCAAAGAGGAATTCCCCTGCACAAGCTCTGTCTTCTCTTTGCCTGCTGCTGTCCATGTAAGAGGTGACTGGCTCCTCCTTGCCTTCCCTGATGATTGTGAGGCTTCCCCAGCCACGCAGAACTGCAAATCCATTAAACCCCTTTTCCTGTATAAATTGCCCAGTCTCAGGTATGTCTTTATCAGCAGTGTGAAAATGGACTAATATGCCATTAAAGTACAAATATTGTCCTGCAATATCTTTATTGTCATTTTCATGTCCTTTCTTTTGTTCTTTCCTCAACTCTTCCTCACCTTTTGCCAGCTGTTGTCATTACAGAAAAACTCATGCTGTTTAAGCTACTCCCCCTTCAAATTAATGAAATTCGTTTTGACAAGACCAATATTTCCTTTAACGGGATCTGATTCTTCTGTTAAATGTTGGAATTCCCTATAGTTCTGCCGTTACCCATTTTCATCCCATCACTACAAACTCTTCTCCTCAAAGTTCCCCCATTTCTCTGATGTTTAAGAACTTTGTGTGATTAATCCCCACATCCTGGAGTGAGGAAAACCACTTTCCTTCCAAAATTTAGTGGAGATTTTAAAAGATGATTTGTGCCAGGCACGGTGGCTCACGCCTGTAATCCCAGCACTTTGGGAAGCCCATGGAGGCAGATCACTTGAGGTCAGGAATTGGACATCAGCCTGGTTAACATGGTGAAACCCCACCTCTACTAAAAATATAAAAATTAGGCAGGAGTGGTGATGGGAGCCTGTAATCCCAGCTACTTTGGTGGCTGAGATAGGAGAATGGCTTGAACCCGGGAGGCGGAGGCTGCAGTGAGCCGAGATTGCACCAGAAAGTCCAGCCTGGGTGAAAGAGTGAGACTGTGTTAAAAAGAGAGAGAGAGAGAGAGGAAGGAAGAAGGGAGGGGGGGAAGGGAGGAAGGGAGGGGGGGAAAGAGAGAGAGAGAGAACTCTGATTTGGAAAACATCTCTCTAGTTCTAATATTTTGGAATCTCTTGTATCTCTAAATTCAATACTGACTTCTATCCAGGCCTCGTTTTGTATATCCAGTCTAATTCCTGGAAGTTCACATATTATTTGAATTTTTTGGAAAACCAGTGCCTCTAATGCAACACATATCTATGCTGTCTCCCAAATTTATAACTCCAGCCGTGATCTGAGCTCTGGACCAAATACTCAAAAGTATACTCTGTGTTTCCAATTTAGATGACTCATAAAGATCCTAATCAAACATGTCACAGCATGGCTCATGCCTGTAATCCCAGTACTTTGTGAGGGCGAATAGGGGAGGATCCCTTGAGGGCAGCAGTTTAAAACCAGCCTGGGTAACATAGGGAGAACCCATCTCCACAAAAAATTTAAAAATTAGCTAGGCATTCTGGTGCATACCTGTAGTCCTAGCTACTTGGGAGGCTAAGGTAGGAGGATTGCTTGAGCCGAGGAGATCAAGGCTGCAGTGAGCCACGATCATGCCACCACACTCTAGCTTGGGCAACAGAGTTAAACCCTGTCTCAAAAACAAACAAACAAAAAACATGTAAGAACAGAACAGAACAGAACACTTGACGTATTTCTCCCATAACTAAATCCTTTACCATTGTCACCTCTCAGTAAATGGCATGATCATGCACTCAGTGTGTCAGGTAAAAAGTCTGCAGATCACAAAGGCATCCATTGCTCACCATGTCCATCACTGTCACCATAAGTCAAACCATAATCTCTCTTACAAAAACTATAATAGCTCACTCTCTGCATCTACATATGTCTACCAGAATTTATTCTTTCCATGAGGCAAAGCAGATTAATGTGTTCTCTTACTCTACCCCACCAACACTTTCTCATCACCAGCATCATAAGATTAGGGTTCCTTCCCATGGGTTACAGGATCTCAATAATCAGCCTCTTGCCTACTCCTGGGGCACGGCTTTTATTCTTATCTAAATTCACTCTAAGTAAGTGGCCATCTTACTTTTTCTCTAACCTGCTGATCTTTTTCTTGCTTTAGGGTCTGGAAACATTTCCATCTCCAGCCCTTGGCCAGATGTTGATAACCCTCCTTCCTGAGCCCTATGCTTTAGAAGACCCTGATGATCACAAATTAAAACAGAAAATGTTTCTTTTCTCCTTCGGAATAACAGGAGTTGTTTTGTTTGTTTGTTTTTTGTTTGCTTGTTTGTTTTCAGTTTTTAAAAGCTCAGTAACCCAATGGGGCACATATGTTTATGGGCCAGTGATCGCCCCAAAGCTGAACTGGGATGTACAGACCAAAGCTTGTAAGTCTGAAAGAGCAAAAAAGGTGAGTATGTATGATTGGGTTTGGGTTTGTGTAAGTGTATATGAGCGAGTGTATGGCTGAGTGCAATGAAAGTGTGTAAGAGTATGTGAGACTCTGCGTTTGTGCAGGTGTGTGCACTTTTGCACACGTGTGTAGGAGTAAAGGCAAAAAGGAGAAAACCACAGGCTCTGGAGTGATAAACCAGAAAAAAGAGGAGGCTGCGGTTTCCATTTGTTTACCCCAAATCCCTCAACTATGTATGTAGTAAAACTTATTTTCTGACCTCTGCTAGGTTTTTGTCACTTTACAGACATTTACAACTTTTTGCAAATTCTGAGTGGGAAAAATGAGGCATGGCTCCTCAGGAATCTTTTTTTTTTTTTTTTTTTTTTTTTTTTTTTGAGACGTTGTCTTGCTCTGTCACCAGGCTGGAGTGCAATGGCGCAGTCTCGGCTCACTGCAACCTCTGCCTCCCGGGTTCAAGCAATTCTTCTGCCTCAGTCTCCCGAGTAGCTGGGACTACAGGCACGTGCCGCCAAGGCCTGCTAATTTTTGTATTTTTAGTAGACACGGGGTTTCACCATGTTGGCCAGGATGGTCTGGATCTCGACCTCGTGATCCGCCCACCTCGGCCTCTCAAATTGCTGGGATTACAAGCGTGAGCCACCGTGCCCGGCCTGCTCCCTGGGAATCTTGATTGGATAGCCCAGGCTCAGGAGAGTTCTGTGTTTGATCTTGATCCCCACAGATCCAGGCTGCCCCTAAGCCTCATACTGGCATGAGATGAGTATAGAATTGGAACCTTGACAGCCCGTGAGCATGAATTCTGTTAAAATTTTAACTGTTTAGCGAGATGACATGTTGCTCTCCATTTGTACTCTTACATCAGGTGCCTGGCATGTGAGAGGATGGCCTGTCAAGAATCCCCCCATCTGAAAGCAATTCTTCTGGGCTATCATCTCCCGTGGCTTGTTCAAATCCACTTAATGTTCCTTCCAATGGACTTCCATGATGAAATCAACTAAGAGTTCTCTTCCCACATCCTGTCACTCTCTGTCTGCATACTTTGCATTACATTCATTTTCAGTCACCTCTACCTGCAATATATTTTAATATTTTGTTAAAGAGTTCATTTTCCATCTCTTGCACTCGAATATGGGCTTAATGAGGGGAGGGACTTGGTCTTTCTTGTTTACACCATTCATCAGTGCTTAGAATAATATCTGGCACATAGTAGTTGTTCAATAAATATTGGTTGAATGAAATAAAACAATGGATATAATTTCTAAGTGCATGTAATATCTAATATTATGTCTAAAGAACATCTAATGACTAAATATAACCAGTCTGTGTAACCAGTTTCACCCATCCCTGAAATCAATTTTATCAAAGATCACCAGATCCACCTACTAAGTTATTGATGGGATCATGACTCTTTTTCCTCTGAAAATTTGCAGAAATTTTATTTTGTTTTATTTAGGTTTCTAAACAAATCATCAAATCATCTGTAATGATTCATAAGATTCTTAATGCTTTGATAGAAAAGGTCCCCTTCCTTAGTCTGATGTTCTGGGCCTCCAAAATTTAGATTAGAATTTCCTGATTTCAGCCTTAGTCTTCTGGATACTTGCAGTTAAAATGGTTTTGCTTCATCTGTGAATGAGGACCCAATACCCCCACCAGTGAAAGCTCTACTCTCAGGCAAGCACAGGATCTCCCAGGGAGAAGAGTCTTTGGTTCTTTTGAACAACTGGGAAGTACATGCCAGCTTCACAGAACTAAAGTAATTGGTATCTAAATGGCTCTTCAGCATATTCAACCTGTGTGATTTTGTCACCATATAACCATCCTTACACAAAGAGAACACTCAATACATACATGACTCTCCAACATATCTTTACATTCCTCACTTTAAGGACATATAACTATTAATTGCATAATCATGCATCTCTTTCAAAATTATATATTCAATAATGTGGCTTCTCTATTCTTTATTGATAGACACACTAAAATAGTTAAATAACACAAAAATGCCTCATTTGGCAGGTAATTCACTCCTTAAATACAATATTCAGTTTTTGGAAAGCTCAGTAAGAATTCTCAATAGTTACAACTAATAAATGATATACCAGTCCCCTTCTTGAGAATAGCATTTATTTGACTTTTATAAAAACATTGTATACTAAGTAGTTCTCCATAGCTTTGTTTTACTTACCTATAGTGTTTTTAGTAATATGTATACTGGTTTGAACCTATAAAACATTTTTATCTTAATTATTGTTAATTTTATGTAAAATTTATAATAAAATGTTTCATCCAATAAATAATTTATATAAGTAGATACAGCTATTGTCATATGGACTCAACTATATAACTAGAAAAAGACATAAATGTGGTTTTTAGATAGATACAGATATACACACTCCCATATCCTCTCAAAAGTGCTGAAGTGTTTATAATGTCTAACATATTGGAAGTAATTAGAATAATCTCACATGATACACTTTCTATGTTCCTTTCACACAATTGAATATTTTTAACTGTTTACATTGCTGATTTACTTCTAGTAAATTACATATTCCCTAACTTACTTGAGGATTAGGGTTACCTGTGGTACTTAATAAATGTTCTAATTCTTGGGCCCCAATTCAGATCACCTTAATCAGAATATTTTGAGGGTGAGGGGCTGGAAAAATTATCATCATCAAGAAGGTAGACAAAACCACTGCTCCTGCATAGCACATGCCACCACAGAGCACCTCAAAGTATACTCTCCACCAAGTGAAGAGCAAACAAATATTTTTCAACTAAAATTTGAATGGTTCTTGTTTATGTTTGCTAGGACTGCCATAGAAAGTAGAATAAACTAAGTGACTTAAACAACAAATTTATTGTATCACAGTTCTGGAGGCTAGAAGTCCAAAAGCAAAGTGTTGGCAGGTTGGTTTCTTCTGAGGAATGTGAAGGAAAGATGTGTTCTGGGCCTCTCTCCTTCTCTTGTAGAAAGCTGTCTTCTCCCTGTATCTTTTAAAATCACCTTCCAGTTAAATCATACATCTATGTATGCATGTGTCCGAATACCCTCTTCTTATAGGTATACAAGCCATATTGCATTAAGGCTCACTCCAGTGACTATTTTAACTTGACTCCTTTGCTCAATAAAGACCTTATTTCCAAATAAGGTGGCATTCTGAGGTACTGGGGCATTAGAACCTCAACAGATAAATGAGGGAAGGTTTACTTCAACCTGTAACAGGTTCAATGGCAGTCATTTTCCAGTGTTATCTATACTGACTTTTAGTGGTGTATATTCTCCTGTCATATTTTTTCTCAACTTTCTTCCTTTACCATTCATTATAGGGAAATCATGAATGTGCAGCAGCTGATGATGGGACCAAAGTCAATGTGTCCAAACACTCTCCTTGGTAGGAAACACAAAAGTCCTTACTGTGCAATCTCATAGCAAAGTTTCTAATATTTTCCTGCCAGAACTTCAGGATAATTCCTCAAAGCCCTGCAATGTTTATCCTTTCACATTTGACATAAGTAAGTCTGCATGTCTTTTTTCTTCTTCTTCTTTTTGGGAAAATATCAAGAACTCTTAAGACAAGAAAATGAAATCTGCTGAGTTAACCCTGGCAGAGGTGAAAAGTCAAAGATGAAGAGCAGCCTTCTGGTGTAGAAACTTTTGTCTTGATGAATAATTGATGGGCACTGAGAGCACAATTTGCTGCTTCTAAGCATGCAGCCCTGACATGGTATGGCATAGGAATCTTGAGGGTAAAAGGATTCTTACTTTATAAGCAAACATCTTGAGAATCAATATTAGATTCTGAAGTTTTCTTATGTAGTTGGCTTAAAAGAAGAATGGATTATGAAGGTTAGGAAGCCATTTTCTTATAAATGTAGCTGTACTCCCATTATTGAGACTTAAAATTTTTAGTTTTTTTCTCCTTATTTTTCCATTTAATGAATGATTGTTACAATTATTTTTATTTTATTTTATTTTATTTATTTTATTTTTGGTAGAAACAGGGTCTCACTGTTTGTTGCTCAGGCTGGAAAACAGTGGCGTGATCATAGCTCACTGCAGCCTGGAACTCCTGAGCTCAAGCAATCTCCCCGCATCAGCCTTCTGATTAGCTAGGACTACAGGCACATGCCACCCTGCCTGGTTAAGTTTTAAAAAATTTTTGTAGAGATAAGGTCTTGCTATGTTTCCCAGGCTGTTGTTGAACTCCCAGTGTCAAGTGCTCTTACGTAAGCCTCCCAAAGTGCTGGCATTACAAGCATGAGCCACCTTGCCCAGTCTTCTTTTCTATTTTATAAGGTAGATGATAGTCATCAGATTAATTGGTAGATATGAAGCTATAATATCTATATATTAAAGCTTTTCAGTGTAGGGCACTTCTGAGCCCTTTTTTTTCCATCATACTCTCCTGGCAAAACCTTAGCGCTTTTTTTTTTTTTTCTTCAACACTCCTGCTACTCTGCACCCGTATCTGAAAAACTAAATTTGTGTGGAGAAAAACAATGATCATGGTGAATATTCTTATTTTTAATTTAAGGGCATGTCCAAGAAGTGGACCCTTAATGCTACCTGGAATCCAGCTAGATTTCTCTAATCAATTCCCTCTCTCACTTTCAAAGGAGAGAAATCCACAACTCTTTTCTTGTCAAGCTTCTAGGATAATCTCTTTCTCGGTTGATGAACTTACTCCTAGTTCCCTAGAAAACAGGAAGCATTCAGGAGAAAAATTGCACCTGTTCTTTCAACACCCAATGAACAATCTCCCTAAAGGTATGAATGTTCTCCTAACACGTGGGTGTTCTGCCAACAACCAATCGACAAGCTCTCTGCAGGTTTGTATGTATATGCATTTCTGCACCTTGCTTCCTATTAAGATTTTTCATTCTCTTCTCTAATTTCAGTACCTCACTGTCCCTTCTGCATGAGATCATGTAATCTCTGTCCTACTCAAACACTCTTACAATAGCCTTCCATATTCCATTCATCATTGTTTTGTTTACTTTCTACTGACTCATTATTGTAAATATAAAAATATTTTGCAATACTATCTCCTATCTTAAAATATTTTCTTGATCCCCCATTTCCACTCCACATACAAGGCTACATTTGTTTCAACATTTGATAAAACTTCCATGGGGGGAAAAAACTGTATCTTCTGTCTCCAATTCAATCTTTGGTCATTTCCTCTGGAATAAATTCCAAATAATATTTTATCCCCATTCCTCAGGTTAGGGTCTGTTCAAGGTTACCAATGACTTCACATGGCTACCAGTTCTCAGTCTTTGCCTTGCTCTAACAGCACCATATGACACAAATCAGTGACTCCTATTTTCTTGTTTCCTTTATTTAGTTGACAGAACACCCTAATCTCTTATTTTTCAACTTTGTAGATTATTTTACTCCAGATTGTGTTGCTGGATCTGTTAAAGAAATAGTTCTTCTGGCTTTTGTTAAAATGCTAAGGAAGACTTTATTCAAGAGAAGTGAGATCATGCTCAATTCTGGACTCAGAAAAGGCACCTGAAGATTTATAGTCAAGGAGAACAGTAAGAAGGTCACTGGGTAGAAAATTACTGAGAGGAGACACCCAGGGTAAGGGAATTCTTTCTAAACCAACTGAATCAGATTCTTACTGAAGCAGGTGAAGGACTGATATGTCAAGGGTGGAAGACTAGAAACATTATCACATATCAGGGGTAATCAGATACTATGGGTGGGAGTATTCTTCCTAAATTAGTTTAAAAAATTCTTATTAAGTCAGAGCTTGGCAGGCTAAAGACAGGAAAGAAGTAAGGTCAAGGCCTAGTCAAAAAGAATGCCCAGAGAAGCCTGACTAAACTTTAGTCAATGAGAGAGTTTTTGCTAGCTGCCATTCATTTTTACAAAGTTCTGAGTTTTAGAATGCCCTAAGGATGAGTCTGCAGATCCTTCCTCTTCTCTCTCTAAATTTACTTCCTTAGCTGAGTTGATCCAGGACTGTGACTGTCAGTGCCAACTATATTCTTCCAATTTCCACTTTTTAATTTCTAACCTGAACACTTTGACTAAACCTCAGACATGGATATCCAAATGGTTGCTAGACGTGTTAAGCTGGATTTCTTGTAGGAATTTAAATGCTAATATTTCCAAACTCTAACTCCAGATCTTCTACTCAAAACCAGCATCTCTGGCTTCTATGTTTTTTCTCTCAAAAAAAAATCTATTATACTGTGGAATTATCCTAGATACATCTCTATTTTATTCTCACATCCATTCTATTGAACCCTTGTAACTTTCTCTTCAAAATAGACCCAAAATTTTACCACACCCAGAAACATGATCTAGGTTTATGGTATCTTGAACTGCTATTGAGATGGTTACATCAGCCATCTACCAAGTCTTCCTATTTCCACATTTGTCTTCATGTAAAATATTCTTTATTCAGGAACCAGGGACATCCTTTTAAAATGCAAGTCATATAACATTCCCCCTTTGCTCAATGGCCTTCAATAACTTTCCATTTTACAAGGATCTGTGGAATAAAAAACTCATTACCATGACCTTTGAGGCCCTACTTGATCTGTCCCTAGAATTCTTCATCCTCAGCTACTCCTGAAATTTTTTCCTTCCTTCTTTACTGTGTTTTGGCCACAATGGCTAATGAGCTTTGGGCATTCCATGATTACTCCCACATCTGTGCCTTTGCACTGGATATTTGCTCTTACAAATATTGTTCCTCAATTTTGAATATGACTCAATTTCTCACTTAAACCACATCTCTGCTAACATAAAAATTTATTAAAAAGCCTTTCCCGAACTCCCCATATAAAGAGATCTCCATTCTGCTGCATCACTCTTTATATACTTACACTGACTTATATTCTTTATAAAATTTAAAGCACCTATTAACACACACTACATGTATTAAATATTATCTCTCTACTCTAAGTTAAATTACGAAAGGTATTTTGACTTTTTTAACTGCTATATTCCAACACTCTAAAGCTTTCATGGTAAGTATAAAACATATTTATTGAATGAATAAAAGTGCCTAAAGCACTCACCTTAGTTTAATATTTTCTATTTTGTAAAGTATATGTGAAGCATGGGGATAAAAACCCTTATGAATGATGATATAGAAGTAATGTTATTAAAATGGTAGAAAGAAGATGGTATAAAGCTAGGCCCAATTTTTATTAATTGCAAAAAATTTGAACAAAACTTTAATTTTGTAGGTGTGTCCTTAGTTTTAAAAGGTAAGTAAAGTCCTAACTAATGTGATCACATTTATCATAGCCTTTCTAAATTACTATAATATGTGGATTTTATTTTTGTGAATTTCTAAGGTTTATAAATGGTAAGGCTGATATAGTGTAAATTGATATATATAGTGTAATGGAAAATCGGACTGACATTTCTCAGTGTCAACCTGTCTCCTTCTCAATAACATTATCTCAAAAAGTTGGGTTGAAATTCAATCTGAGTATAGAATAAAACCCTCTAAATTTGAAGAGAAAAATGCCCTGAGACATAGATAATTTGAATAACTGGCCCAATGTGATACAACCATTAAATGATGAAACAATAGATGATGAAATACATGATGAAGCAAAAGCTCATCTTCTTACATAACACAGAGTATTGCCAGAGAGTTGGTCCATTTAACTAAGAATTTAGTAATGAGTCACAAGGTATGATGTGATACTGCAGAGGATTACTTATTTTCTTTCACGAATATTTCCTGAAAAACAGAGAAGGATGTAATAATGCTGATGACTTCGTCAGAGAGTGAAGTGGCTGCAGGTTAGTTACAAAGAAATGAATGATGACTGCAGCTGGGTCCCAAAGGAAAAGCCAAGAACTGTATTTTCAAATAATTGTAGCAGATCACCTGGACACATGGACTGATGGAGGAAGACACATGATGTCAGGGGAGTCAACCAAGAAAAACTGCAGAAATTAGACCACAGTGAATGATTCTCATCGGAGTGGCATGATCAAGAATAAAGAAATAAATCCAACTGAGTTCTGAAAGAAATGGATAACTGAGTGGTCAAATAGACAGCAATAGAAACTACTCATGAGAAACTCCATAGGTGATTGTTAACATTAGAGTAAATCAATAGTAAAGGAGAATATTGGAAAGGGAATTAATCTGGTAGAGTTATGGTGATGAACAATGATTATTTCCATTGTGAATGTGTAATTAAGTGGATACACATGACCAGAGAGACAGATAGCCTTAGCAGAGGAAAACTAAGATGATGCATAATACATCAGGTTATTAATGGTCATATACAATACATAGATCAGAATGTGGATATTGATCATCACAGAGAAACGTCTTTCAATTTTTGTTTTGTTTACATGCATTATTGTAGAAAGCTGTCCCCAAAGCAGGTCCAACTCTCATATTTTCAGGAACCAAGCCATAGTACAAATAAAGAATCACATAGAATATTTCTCATTAGTAATAATTAATGAACCAAACTAACAAATTATTACATACATTCTATTCTCCTATTTTTGACAAACCTTTATAACAGCTCTGAAGTCCAGGTTAGATAGATGAGGTCCCATCTCTACTACTAAGCAAAATCCTGGAAGCAAGTCCTGAATGGTTGACTAGAGGGGGTGTTTGCATATCTAGTAGGCACTTTGTCTTGAATTCTGGAACTCATCCCCTCTTGGCAAGAGGTGGAACCAGGGAACATTCTGAGCAGGGAAGAAGACCCTCATCCTTGAATCTCAAAGTCATATTGTCCAAATGGATGGCCCCAAAATGCTTATAGCATTTCTAGTTGGGTGAAATGATCTAGAATGATTGTAAATGTCTTATTTATACTATTGTGAATTACTTGAATTTTCTTCGGGAAATGTTTTAAGTCTATACTTCAAATGAAAATGCATGCATTTTATAATTACTAAAGAAAAAATAACTAACCGATTAATAGGAAATGATTTAATATACCCTTTCTGGGTCTGTAATTTATATTTTAGGTGAAAGGTATTAGAATATGTGAAAGTATTTAACAATATAAAAGAAAATAAAAATATTGACTATATTAATATAAATACATTTCCAGCAGAAGGGATGCACCACGATACTGAATTTAACAATAAGAATATAGTTTCTATTTCATATTAGAGTCACTAGGATTCTAATTGCAATGCAAGTGAAGTTAAATCTATTACATTATATAAAAGTAAACTATATCCTATAATGCAAAATCACTAGACTTCTTTCCTTTGAACTTTTTCATTCAGCTTTCCCCAAAACCTTTTTTCTTCCAAAACTAAGAAATTGCATTTTAATCTTTAAAAACATATATTATAGTTGAAAAGAAATCAGTAACTTTAATCTTTCCCAAGAAACAAGATATTCTAAATGCAAATTTTGAATTACTTTTAAATACTCGAAACTGTATTAGCTGTAATTTACCTGGCCTTTCAAAAACAAGATTTCATAAATCACTCACAAAATTTTCTAGAGATTATTTTTTTCTTTGAACCATCTATATACTAATAAAAACTAGTAATGAGAAACTGCCTTCCATCTAAATGCTAAATCCTCTGCTAGTATATTTTATGAAAAAATGTAAGCATTCACCTGTATAATTGCTTTCCAAATTATTCCTCCCTTCATGTAACTATTCTACTTTTCTGTTTTTATATGAATTTGAGCTAAAATGATGTTGACATTTTATGTATTTATCACTGTCACTATCAGCTATCTACTTACCCTGTTTGGAAATTCTGCTTATTTTTCATTAACGTTGATATTAATTTCAGTATAATTCTATACTTAGGCAAACAGATTGGTAATTCATACATATCTGAATTTTTAAAATTGTAGCTATATAAATAACCTGATCTTGATGCATTTAAGATAAGTTAAGGAATTAAACCAAATTATATGTTTTATTGTTTATTGAATGGTACACATCATTCATATTAAATAGTACAATTAAATTGATGTTAAGAAATGATTAATCTATATTAAACATAAAATTCACATTTTAGGAAACTTATGGGTATCACACATTTTGTGCAGTAATCAGGTCTCCTCCTTTTTCTCCCAAATTAATAAATCAGGAACACCATTAATGAAATTTCTATGAAATCCCTCACAATCCTGCTACCCTTCTCTCTATTGCTGCTGACTACATAGTATTGTCGTAAATTATTAAATTGAGTATAAATGATATTACCTCATCTTACATGTAACCAATATATTTATTTGTATAAAATACTACTCAAAGTAATGTTAATATATTGAAGTGACTGTTCTAAAAATTGTCTATAGATTTATCTTGTAATTGGTGTACCAAAATTGTATACAGTATTTATATAATATTCACTATATAGGGTGAACTATACTCGATATTTGAATTTTAGAGTCAATTATAGATTATACAATATCTGATATCAAGTGGATTCCAAACTACAGAGTCCCAATCACACATCTTTTACCTATTTTTATAACTGAGGAAGCTGGTAGGCACACAGTGGTGGAGTTACCATACTGAGGTGGATTGTGGTGATTTACCAAAAATCTGCCCCAAGGCCCATCAATAGGCCTTTTTTCTTGTAACTGGAGAATTATTAGGCTTTATCCACGTATCTCAACGGTTATACACACGCATACACAAAAAACACCCTACTGTTTATGTTTTCTTAACTTTAAGTTCAGGAGTACAAGTGCAGGTTTGTTACATAGGTAAACTTGTGTCATGGGGTTTTGTTGTACAGATTATTTCATCAGCAAGATATTAACCCTAGTTAATCTAAAACCCCTTAGACGTTTTCCCAATGCTTTCCCTCCTCTCACCTTTCACCCTCCAAAAAGTCCCAGCCTGTGTCCTTCCCCTCTATATGTTCTCATCATTTAGCCCCTACTTGTAAGTGAGAACATGTGGTTTTTGGTTTTCTGTTAGTGTGTTAGTTTGCTAAAGATAATGGCATCTAGCTCCATCCATGTTCCTACAAAGGATATGATCTCATTTTCTTTTATGGCTGCGTAGTATTTCATGGTGTATATGTACCACATTTTCTTTGCCTGGTCTATCATTGATGGACACTTAGGTTGATTCCATGTCTTTGCTATTGTGGATAGTACTGCAATGAACGTATGCATGCATGAGTCTATGATACAATGATTTATATTCCTTTTGGCATATACTCAGTAATGGGATTGCTGGGTCAAATGGTACTTCTATCTTTAGGTCTTTGAGGAGCCACTACAGTGTCTTCCACAATGGCCCTACTCTTCATACAGTTAATAACACTATTGGACTACCCTCACTGCTAAAAAGCAAAACAACAATGAAAAGCGGCCAACAACAAAAACCTCATGAGCAATAAGGACGCTTAGGATTCCAACTCTTTCACCTACACTGATTACAATAAATGGTGCTGTACAGCTTTTGCTAAAGTGTAACATCTTATGTCACATCCACAAACCTACTCTGGTGAAGAAACTTAGTTCTCTGAGAATGATAAAAATGAGTTAACCTTTCCATTATCAGTTGTGTCTCGTGGCATTTTCTAAATAAGATCAGGTTACTTTAAACATAAAAAGGCACTTTTAATCCAAGTAGGGGATTAGACTCATTATATATTCCCTGAGAAAGTCAGTATTTGGTAACATGTTCTAAGCAAGGGAGGAATCCTATTTAAATGGAAATTTTATTGTTAATTTTTTTGAATATTGAAAAATAGGCCAGGCACGGTGGCTCACGCCTGTAATCCCAGCACTTTGGGAGGCCGAGGCGGGTGGATCATGAGGTCAGGAGATCGAGACCATCCTGGCTAACACCGTGAAACTCCGTCTCTACTAAATATACAAAAAATAAGCCGGGCGAGGTGGCGGGCGCCTGTAGTCCCAGCTACTCGGGAGGCTGAGGCAGGAGAATGGCGTGAACCTGGGAGGCGGAGCTTTCAGTGAGCAGAGACCGCGCCACTGCCCTCCAGCCTGGGCGACAGAGCGAGACTCCGTCTCAAAAAAAAAAAAAAAAAAAAGAAAGAAATAATTTTCAGTTGATTTTTAAAGAAAAGAATGTAAAGCAATCTAGTAAACAACCTTTACCAGCTAAATATATGAACCATAACTAAAAGAGAAGTTCTTGTTCAAGTAGAGAAGTAAAAATTTAGCTACCTCTGTCAACAAAGATACTAATAAATAATATCAAGAGCAAATGTTTTATGATGGTGCATTGACTTCTGTCCTCAGAGCCTGAAAGACTTATGCTGCTTACTAGATAGGTTGAATTGATGAGGGGAAAAAAGCCCCATCATTTGTTGTTAATTATGGATTTAAAATCGCAAAGTGCTTCCATTTACTCACATAATTAAACCCTCTATATCATAAATATTGATCTTGGTGTTATTTTTTTGTTTGCCTTTCCTAAAAATGCTAACAGACTGATGCTATCATTTAGATAATTTTGAAAGGTCTTTTCCTAGTGTAATTAAAGAACGAAATGGAGGAAAATGTTTTCTGTTTGCTCTTTATCAAAGAGAATGATGCTCTAAGTCCAATTAGCTGTATTAATATTTCAAAGTGTTCTAACATGTTCATGTTTTGGGTTCTTATCATCCATAGGGTGATTTAGAGGCCATTATCTGGATACATGCAAAAGAAAAGCAACGGTTTGCAATAGATTCATATTTCAGATATCAGGGCCTACAGCAGCAGGTCTGCCCTGCTATTACTGAGGAAGGTATTTATCATCAACATTTTCTTGTTTCAGATAAAACTGCTGAAGATAATAAGATTACTTTTAAACATAATCTTCACAATATGCCTTATGATTTAAATCTAGTCTCTTTCATTTTTGCATTCTTAATTTTGGTAACAGTTCCTAGTGGACTATAACAAGTATTTGTTCAACATCTTTTAAAAGCATTTACTTGTCTGCTACTAAGTGCCAGGCACAACACTAATTACTTTGAGCTAACAGTGAGAGAGGTAGACACTAAAAGAAAAAGACACAGATGAATATAGCACAGAAGTTAGACAAGTTTTGGAGCCTCGATGCACTGCATAAGAATGTCCACAGAGATTTCATGGCAGGGATATGGCCTTTCTGAGGAAAAGACATCTATCTTAAAATTTGCAGGGTGAGGGAGGGCTCTCCAGCTTGTTGACTTGAATAGATATGCTGGATAGAGAATTCCTGGTGTTACCTAAAAGTTTATTGGACTAATCGTAAACATTTAAAACAGCATCTAAATCATTATCTATTTGTTGGAAAATGGATAATGACATGAGCCTTCTGTAAGAAATTCAAAGTCACATTTCAATAAAAGTTATAATAGTTCATTAAAATGTGTCAAAGATTAATATTTGAAATGAGCGCACATTTGTTTGCCTTTTAATTTCTAATTTTTGTAATGTTTCATATGTCTTTACTGGCCTGTATGTAATTAAAAGAGAACTAAAATGAAGCCAAAGACAAACAAATCAACACATTAAATTCTCAGTCTACTGTGACTTCTCTTGATTTGCCCCCAGCCCCCCAAAATTAAGTCCTCTATATCACTATTTTATTAAGTAATTAAAAATAAAGATCCTATCCTTCCTCTAAAAGTTAGGTAACCCATTGTTTCTATCAATTTAGAAAAGATTTTAAAATGTCAGAACTTTGAATGAGTAGCAAATTTCGCATCAACTAGAATTTTCTCATATTTTTGTTCACACAGATCATGGCAGATATTAGACTTAAGCAAACACATAGGCTTCAAGATAATTTTGCTGTTGTTGCCTCCCTAAGTTATTTTTAGGACATCATTTTTTTTTCAAAAAGAGTTTTGGTTTTTGACTTTTTTTTTCTTTTTTACTGGACTTTACCAGGAGCAAAGTACATTTAAAATACACTTAGAGGTGGAGTGTGGTGGCTCACGCCTGTAATCCCAGCACTTTGCAAGGCCAAGGTAAGCCCATCGCTTGAGCCCAGGAGTTGGAGACCATCCTGGGAAACATGGTGAAACTTTGTCTCTACAAAAAATACAAAAAATGAGCCAGACATGGTGGTGCATGCCTGTGGTCCCAGCTACTCAGGAGACAAAAGACGGGAGAATCACCTGAGCCCAGGAATTTGAGGCTGCAGTGAGCCGGGATTGTACCACTGCACTCGAGTGTGGGCAACAGTGAAGCCCTATCTCAAAAAAAAAAAAAAAAATACACCTTGCATTCAATTTTATCCAATAGTGTCCAAAGGACACATTGCCCAAAGTGCACAATCTTAACCCTAACAGAAGTGCATGAGCTTTTCCTCAAACAAGTTTCCAAAGGTGTTGCCGATCAATAGGACTGCCATAGTTTTTTCCATTGCAAATGCCCAGGTGTCAGGCTAAACAGGCAGAGAGATTACCCCTGGGAGGCAGGGCACAGATCCAGGGTTTTTAAAAGTTTATTCTTCATCATTTCAAAAGATTATCAGTATTTGCAATGCTCACGCAAATTCTTCTGAAATGCAGTATCATTTAAAAAAGAAATGCAAATATTTTTCCAGCAAGAAATTATTTATAACATATTTTCTTCTATGTATTTTTATCAATCAAGGTAAAATATGTTATTTAGTCTTTGTGGGTTATTGACTAGTATTAAAAAAATTATTATGACTTTTCAGATAGTATTACCTGTTATCTCTTATGTTCATATTTGATTATTGTTTTCAGCCTAAATTCACTAATTGCCAAAATTGAGATACAAATCAAAACAACAGTGAGATATCGCCTCATGCCTGTTAGGATTCTGTTTTAAACAAACAAAAGATAACAAGTGTTGGCAAAGATCTGAAGAAATGGGAACTCTTGTACACTGTTGATGGGAATGTAAAATGGTTCAGCTGCTATAGAAAACAGTACAGCGTTTTCTTAAAAATTAAAAATAGAATTACTATATGATCCAGTAATCTCACTTCCGGTTATCGATATTCAGAAAATTGAAATCAGGATCTCAAAGAAATATCTGTACCTTCATGTTCATGGCAGCATAAGACATAACTGGCAAGATACAGAAAACAATCTAAATCAACCTAAAGCTACAGATGAATTGATAGAGAAAATGTGGCGTATTTACAGTGGTATATTATTGAGCCTTAAAAAATAAGGAAAGCCTGCCATTTGCAACAATATGGATGAATCTGAAGGACATTGTTAAGAGAAACAAGCCAGTCACAGGAAAAATGCTGCATCTTCCACTCACATGAAGTATCTGAAATATTCAAACTCAAAGAAGCAGAGAGTAGAATGATAGTTGCCAGGAGCTGATGGAAGGAAGACATAAGGAGTCACTTTTAATGAGTGTAAAGTGTCAGTAATGCAAGATAAACAAGTTCTACAGATCTGCTGTACAACACAGTGCCTATAATCAACCATACAGTTTTGTGCAGTTAAAACACTGTTTTGTAAAAAACTTGTTAAGAGGGTAGATCTCATGTTAAGTGCGCTTGCACTTAAGAAAAAAACAAAACGAGGGGGTATGAGGAAACTTTTAGAGTGAAGGATAAGTTATTTGTAAAATTATATACATTAATTATATGTTGTATTTTAGTATATCAATTATGCACCAATGAAGCTGTTAAACAAATTAATGTGGATCATGACTGAAGGCAAAAGAAAGAAAATCAATGAAGTCCATGTAAACTTTCAAAACAATTATCTACAAAATCCTGATTTCTATTGGGATAGGGACTACTTGAGGAAAGAACCCATGAACGTTAAAATGAGAGAATACCAACTAAGAGTCCTAATTTTATATGTTATTTGGTAGGCCGTCATATTTCAGATAAGAAAACCGAGTTCAAAAAGAACCAGGATTCTGAAGCATAATCCAGTAGACTTCCTCATATATTTTGTGAAGACAATATTTTCCCGCCACACAATCAGGTCTATAAAGGACCTCACAGCATGCTTGACATGTTAGCTGATCATTTGCTCTCTTGACTCTACCTTGTGCAGATTTATTATCAAGAAAAAAATCTCCAATTTAGCCCAAAAAGTAGTCTTCCCCTCTACGTACCTTTATGTTGAACAAACCTAGCTGAAACCAGAGAAAAACATTCTTGCTAGCAAATCAAATATTTAAAACTTATCATGTATATAACTTTACCCATATTCTTCTTATAAAACCATCTGTAATAGAAAGTAATTTTCCACATTTTATAAGATTTTTTAATGAAATCCAGTTTAGAAAAATTTTTAGCATAATATTAAGGTTTAATGTTGTCAGCATAAGAGAATAGTGGAATTTAACCCTTAGTAAGATATTAAAACACATTTTCTTGATTATGCCTCATATTCTCTGTTTTACTCACTATCGTATGTTAAGCCTACATGCCATCATCAAATCTCTACCAAGCTAATAAATATGATTGTGTCGGGGATTTTCCCAAAAAATATATACCATTCACCTTGGAAGATGATAAATTGATAAATGTCCATCATAAAATGTCCAAACCAATGCAGTCAATTCATCCATATGGCCAGTGTGTTCTTTCAGTGATGGATCTCCTCTGACAATGCAATGCTTCATTTGCCTAGCTGGTAATTTAGTCAAGTTTCTTAAAAAATTATCTAGTGACTTTTGGAAAGTATATAGGAAGAAACTCACACCTCCCCCTTCTCTTCAACTACCACCCTTCTCTTCTCTTTGTTACTTTGAAGATATACAGATTTTTTTAATTGATCAATGAAATTAGAAAAGAAAATACAGGCTTTATAATGAAAAGTTTCTGGAAAATGTAACCACTTTTGAGACTATGTCATGTCAAAATTTTTGCCATGTCACGTCTATTAACTGCAGGAAAGGTTGAACAAAAAATTTTAAGACACTTCTGCTGTCTCAAGTTTTTAAAAATCTACTTAGAGACACAAATTTTAAACAAACATTGAAAACTACAATATATATGAACACATTCTTTTTTTAAATAACTATTTATTGAATACCTACACTATGCCAGGAGCTGTTCTAGGTATTGGGAATACAGCTGTAGACATGATTTCTGCAAACATGAAGATGATTTCCTAGTGGTGAAATGCAAATCGAAGAAAAGTAAACAAGTAAAGCCTTTTAAGTGATAGATAGTTGCTGGGCTTGTTACTCTAAGACCATGTAGTGATGGAAGACCCTATGACAAGGAGGTAGGCGAGTAGAGCTCTGTACACAGTGAGGGAATGAGCTTTGTGAATATCTGCTGGAAAAATTTGGCCACATAGGGAACAGAAATATAGGAAACCTTATGCAGAATTGAAATCAGCCTATCCAGGTTGAAACCAGGATAAGACCAGGTTGGGCAACATAGCAAGGACCTGTCTCTTTCAAAACTATATATATATATATAAATTTAATTAATTGGGCATGGTGGCATGTGGCTGTAGTCCCTACTACTCTGAAGGCTGAGATGGGAGGATCACTTGAGCCCAGGAATTGGAGGTTGTAGTGAGCTAATATTCAGGTTCAGGTAAGACATGAGTATAGAAAATGAGAAATAAGTGATAGAAGATATCAGGGGCCATATAAGATCGGGAATTCCAAATTTCAGAAACAAACTTCTTCTAACCGTAAGAAATTGTTTATAGCAAACATACTTTATCTAAAAGGTGGAGTGTAGTGTTGCTAAACTTAAAAACTAGAAATAATGCATAGAAAATTCAAGAAAGTCACAAAGAAAATATTGATATATTTGGATGCTAGGTTACAAGTGATATTGATTATCTTCTTTTTCTCCTCCAGAAACATCATTTTTCTAAAAAACAGTATTTATGATTTATTGAAAAGTAAAAGCATATATTACAAAATATATTTATGCTAAATTAGCATTTATCCTCTGACTTTCTATCACCAGTGGCTTGCTTGAAAGTGAGGGATTTCACGGGTAGGTCTTAGGCAGATGCATGATGTGAGGTTTGCTTGGAAGACAACGATTTTGAGGGGAAGCAAAGTGGAGAATTAAAGAGAGTAGACACAGCTTTAGACATACTTGGATCTGAACTCTGTCTCCCAACTCTACTTCTTTAATCATGTTGCACACTCCTTCAGTTTGAGACATGAAAAGTATATTGAAAGCATAATGAGAATTGTGCAGCCAGTAAACACTGAATGTGGAAGGAAAGACGATCACCATGAACTTGGACTAGACAGTACTGACATGGACTCAATTCCTTCAAACTTGAAGCCTTGAAGTAAAGGCAAACCTGTTTTTTAACAATATATGTACTAAATCAGCAGGGAGATGCCAGCACCGACAAAGTATAAAGAACAACAACAATAAATAGGATGAGGAAATAGAAACATTTGCCATCCCTCCTGGCACATGTGAGTCTCACAGAAATTAGGCCAAATTCTAGCAATTGCTTATATTGCACAAATATGTTTCTTCAAATTACACATACATATTTCTCCTATTTTGATTTATGTAATAACAGGATTACATAATAATATAGTAGAACAATAACAACATATTATATATAATATCCAAAGACTCTTGAAGAATGAGTATATAATTACATAGTCATTCTTCAAGGGTCTTTGGATACATATTTGTAAAGATCTAAAAAATATTAGGGAAAATAGAATTTTACCTTACTATCTTAGAAAATGTATAATGCAGTTTTTTGTAAAGGAAAATTTCTATGTACTTCTACATTGATATTTCAATGAAAATACACCACATGAATGTTGTTCAGGTGTATAAAAACTTGTCCATTGTTTATTATCTTATTTATGGAGAAATTTGGTATACTGCACAAGCTTTTCTTTTCTTTTCTTTTTTTTTAGAGACAGAATCTCACTGTGTCACCCAGGCTGGAATGCAGTGGCCTCATATTAGTTCACTGGAACCTTCAATTCCTGGGCTCAAGTGATCCTCCCATCTCAGCCTCCAGAGCAGTAGGGACTGCAGGCACATGCCACCATGCCCAGTTAATTAAAAACATATACATTGTTTTAAAAGAGACAGGTCCTTGCTATGTTGCCCAAGCTGGTCTTAAACTCCTGGCTTCAAGCAAGACTCCTTCTTCAGCCATCCAATGTGCAGGGATTATAGGAATGGACAATTATCCTTTCTTAAAATATATTTTTCATCCTTTTTATTCTTATGCTTTTTTCCCCTGGCCAACATAAAGTTAAATCATTTGGATTTTCTCCAGAAAGCATTTGTATTAAATTAGATTTAGAGTATTATTTGTATAGTTTTATCTTCCATTTTCTTTTCTGTTCTCTTTAGCCTTAAAGTTTACAACATAGCTTTAAGTTAGATTTTACCTTATCTTATATATTCACATGGACTAACAAAACAGGTACAGCATGGAAGAAATTGTTTTATGATTTTCCAAATAATAGAGGAAAACACCTTAGCTACAAGGGAGAAATTAATCATATCAAAATAATGACACAAATGCCTACCTTTCCATTTTCTTGATTTACTCATACATTTCTAATGTTTTTATTAAGAAATATTTTGCTAGGAGGATATCAGAGCAAAAGAATACACAGCCCAAGAGGGGCAATAGGGTTAAAGCATTTCTGGTCCAATAGTGGCATGTCTTCAGCACTGGATAAGGGACCTTTTTCAAAGTGACTTCCAAGGAAGCAGGACCAACGCAGCTGGAAAGCCTCACCCACTGTCAGCTGCACATAGCTGCTGCCCCGTGCCTGCCCTCAGCCTCTCCTCATCAAGTGTTTTCTACTGGTTGCCCCAGCCAGAATCACCTCTCTGTTTCTTCCCATGATGTCCTTGCTGGCACTGGCTTCATGACAACTCTCCTTTCTCCTCTGAAACATAGTTCTAGTTATAGTCTCAGAAATTGTCACCTTTCCTATCATACACTAGGTCCTTCAGAACATTGTGGTCCTAGATATAAAAGTCACCACCCACTAACTAATATTATCACTTTATTGCCTTCCAGATGTTAAAGTAAGACACACAAAAAACTCATCTTGTGATAATCTAAGTCAATACAACAAGTAGAAATAGGCTTTGAATTACAGATGAAGCAAAAGGATGAGAAGTGGTAACTAGTAATTTTTTTTTTTTTTTTTTTTTTGAGACAGAGTTTCCCTCTTGTTGCCCAGGCTGGAGTTCAATGACACGATCTCGGCTCACCGGAACCTCCGCCTCCCAGGTTCAAGCGATTCTCCTGCCTCAGCCTCCCGAGTAGCTGGAATTACAGGTATGTGCCACCATTCCTGGCTAATTTTTTTGTATTTTTGGTAGAGATGGGGTTTCTCCATATTGGTCAGGCTGGTCTTGAACTCTGACCTCAGGTGATCCGCCTGTCTTGGCCTCCCAAAGTGCTGGGATTACAGGCATGAGCCACTGTGCCCGGCCAGTAACTTGTAATTTTAACCAATAGTTCTGGTGGTAGAGATTTGAAAAGGCCTACTTAAAACCAGACATAATTATGGGTAATTATGATGATACATAATCATTAGTTGCACAGTGAGGTGGTCATTATCTCCAACTTTCACATCTAGACCTGGAAGTTCATTGAGGTCAAGTGTTTGCAAAGATCTTCTGGCCTAACTTAGGGGTCAGAGAGCGCCATGTCTGGGGGCAAACCATAAATGTGTTTGATTAAGATTAAATGCATACTGAGGAAAATGCATATATACATACGGCTTTTTTTGTGTGTGTGTGGCATGATCTCAGCTTGCTGCAACCTCTGCCTACTGGGTTCAAGCGATTCTCCTGCCTCAGCCTCCTGAGTAGCTGGGATTACAGGCATGTGCCACCACGCCCCACTAATTTTTGTATTTTAGTAGAGATGGGGTTTCGTCATGTTGGCCAAGCTGATTTCGAACTCCTGACCTCAGGTGATCCACCCTCCTTGACCTCCCAAAGTCCTGGGATTACAGGCATGAGCCACTGTACCTGGCCAATGCATATATTTTGAACAAACAATCAAAACAAGAAAGGATATTGATTATTAGAGTATATAGTGGACAACAAGGTAAAAAACAGGGATAAAATGTATATCGCATAATCACATAATTTGACAATAATAGAAGGAAAAATCAGGGATTTCCTGGATCTGATAGAGGAAATGCTGTAATTTAACTGCCAGGTGAAAGACAGTGAAACTTGAGGGCACAAAAAGTAATAGATACAAGGATATACATACATTAAATGAACAATAAAGCAAAAACAAAAACAAAATAAAAACAGAAAGCTGAGTTGAACACTGAGTCTAGGAGCTGTAAAAATGTATGTCAATATATAAATTAGAGATGCAATATCAAAAATATTCATTGCTCATTGACTAATGGCAAAAAAATCAGTACAAAATTGAAGAAAGCAAAACCTACTTACCTCAGGGCTAGCAAAACCTACCACCTGCATGTGTTTTAATGTGCATACCCATATCCAGACCAACAGCTCACATTAACATAGAAGAAAATGTGAGCAACTGAGAACTGTGCTTAATATTGGCATGCAATTCTGCATACTAAAATTTAACTTTTAACAACATTATGTGCTTGACTAGTTATGTAAATCCATCATATTTATTTCATATAACAGGCATGTCTGATAATATAAATGTCAATTGGTTTTAACAACTTATTTTGATACCACGTCCATCACAGTAAAGTATTAATGGCAAAAGCAGAAGTCATGTAATATATTCTGGAATTGGGAATGGTGTAACTCATAGGAAAGTACTTTGTAACAAAGAAACGTACAATTGTAGTGTTCCAGTTTAACATGATTTGACACACCTCATACAGAAAAGTCCTGAAACTGACAGCTAAGTAAGTCTTCAAACAAAATCTGCCAATATTCGTTGTCTGCTTTTCCTTCACTACTTTTAAATAACGCAGCAAAAATGACTTAATCATTTAAACCATATATAGATGGCCATTTATGGAGAAAATAGTGCAAAATAAAAGAAATATTTTTTTCCGTGGGTGTCAATTTACCTTGCCATCATTTAAATGTTTTTTATTTTTCCAGTGTCATGGCTATCTTAAAAAATTGCAATTTTGTAAAGGAAGTCAAGTGAATGCAGTTTTATTAACTATGCCTTTTATTTCCCATATTTTAATGCTTTTACATTTTGGGGCTTCACTGATCCTGAAAGGACTGCCCCTCAAAGGGTTAGCTCATTCCAAGAGATAGCAAACAATTCCCTGGGAATGTGCCTTTCACATGCAAACCAACCAATCCAGAGGCCATACCTCTACTCATCTTCTTTACTGGGCTCTCAAACTCTGGGCCACTATCCATCTACCCTAATTATCCTAGGGCCAACTACCAGACAACAAAGAACTGCACCTATTTCCAAGAGCCACTGAAATTCTTCAAGCTAGCCCATCCTAAACCTGCTTACCCTGCCTCATCAGCCCCTCCTGCAGAAATCACAAAGGTTTCCATAAAGATTCATTTGGCCACATTTGCCTCTTGCACCCTCTATCTACTGGCCAATACTGGTACTTCCCTATGTTGTCCCATGTGGCATGGCATGGCCCTGTTTCTAGAGAACTGTGAATGAAAACTTCTTCCTTAATGATAGTCATTTCTATGCTTGCATGTCTTAAATTATCTGATTTTTAAAAATCCTGGTACCCTTATGACAGCCATTTTTTTTCTATTATTATGTTGGTGTGAAAGTAATTGCAGTTTTTTGGTACCACCTTTTTTTTTTTTTTTTTTTGAGACAGAGTCTCGCTCTGTTGCCCAGGCTGGAGTGCAGTGGCACGATCTCGGCTCACTGCAAGCTCCACCTCCTGGGTTCACGCCATTCTCCTGCCTCAGCCTCCTGAGTAGCTGGGACTACAGGTGCCCACCACCACACCTGGCTAATTTTTTGTATTTTTAGTAGAGACGGGGTTTCACCGTGTTAGCCAGGATGGTCTCAATCTCCTGACCTCGTGATCCACCTGCCTCGGCCTCCCAAAGTGCTGGGATTACAGGCGTGAGCCACCACGCCCGGACAGTTTTTCAGTATTACTTTTCATGGAAAAAACTGCAATCACTTTCACACCAACCTGTAAATCTTAAAAATAAAGGCCATTTGATAACTGAGTTATCAACTTTTTATTTTGCCATGGAATGACATTAGAATTAAAATGATCTTTCTACTGTTGGCATGATTTCAGTCGCAATTTTGGTATTGAAGATATAGCTACAAAAAATAATCTCAAGGAGTTTAAGTTTTAATTGGATATTATTTATTAAAAACACTAGCTGCATATGCTGCAATTTTATAGCTGTAAATGTAAAGACTGAAGATTTTAAAACTGCTTTGTGATGCCTTGTGCAGTGTAACTTTTTTTTTTTTTTTTTTTTTTTGAGGCAGGGTCTCCCTCTGTGGCCCAGGCTAGAGCACAAATACGGTTCATTGCAGCCTCAACCTCCCTGGATCAAGCAATCCTCCTTCCTCAGCCTCTGGATTAGCTGGAACTACAGGCACATGCCCAGCTAATTTTAAAATTTTTCTGTAGAAATGAGGTCTCCCTATGTTGCCCAGGCTGGTCTTGAATTCCTGAGCTCAAGTGAGATCCTGCCTCGGCCTCCCAAAGTGCTGGGATTACAGGTGTGAGACACAGTGAAATATTGTCTTGGAAATGTATGACAAGTCCTACTTTTATATTGCTCTTTAATAGTGTTTGAGTTTGCCTACTGAGGAAGATAAGGTATAATTTTAAATTATATGTCCACTGGATTTAAGTAATACAATCTTAATAGCTAGAGCAATAGTGACAAATATATTGTTTTCACCTTTTCCTTTGATTATAGCTGGAAAAATATTTAAAACCATAGAGCATCCATATTCTTATGTGATATTACGCATATCACTCACAGGAAAAACACAACTAATTTTGAGTTGAACCCAGCTGAAATAAAGAGAATATGAGCATCACATAAAGTTAGTTTTTATTCTCTTATAATATTGCTTTCACTCCTTCTATACTGATTCTAATTTTGCTACCCTGATTCCAAGAAATCCGTTTTATCTAGATGTTATAGAGTTCTGCTTTCTCTTTATTGCCTTGAGCAGTAATGGGTTAATCAAACCAGGAAATACCTGCATAACAAGCCATTTCATATCGAGAACAGGAGAATTGAGAAAGAGAAAGTGCTGATAAATATCCCCCATTCATAAGAAAAAAATTCACAAAGACAGAAAATCCATAGATGAAAATGAAAAAAAAAAATAAGGCTCTCTGCAAATTTCTCAACTTTAGAATTGAAGTAATTAAAGATTACTGATCTTTAATCAGTTAAAAAAAAACTGAGGATGGCCATAGTTTGCTGTCTTACTTCTACTAAATATACACATTTTAAATAAACCCCACACAACTAACTACCTCCTATGAACATTATTTAGTTGATAAGTAAGTCTCCTTTTTATAGTGAAAATGTAGGGAGAACTAACACTCTTGCCTTTAATTGCACAGCCTTACAGGTTTTGAGAGATGCAGTCAACACTTTGTCAAGAACTGTCATTGTGAGCCAGGGAGGTGGAAGCACAATTCTGTTCAATGGTTTCTTCCCTTTACATACAGGACAGCCTAGATTCCTTTTATTTTATTTTGTTTTTCAAACTTCCTCATTTCTATTTGCTTATTTGTTTATAATTTTTGATTCAGGAGGTCCACTTGCAGGTTTGTTGCATAGGTATATTGCACGACACTGATGTTTGTGCTTCTAATGATCCCATCACCCAAGTAGTGAACATATTACCTTATAGGTAGTTTTTAATGCTTCCTCCCCTTCCTCTCTCCCTACTTTTATAATACAATCCCCAATGTTTATTGTTCCCATCTTTGTGCCCATGTGTACCCGATGTTTAGTTCCTGCTTATGAGTGACAACATGTGGTATGTGGTTTTCTGTTTCTGCATTAACTCAATTAGGATAATGGCCTCCAGTTGTATTCATGTTGCTGCAAAGCACATGGTTGCAACTGGAGGCTGTTATCCTGAGTTGTTTATAGCTGTGTTGTATTCCATGGTATGCATATACCACGTTTTCTTTATTTGGATTCCATTTAAGTAGACAAATTGTTGTATGTTACAAAAATTCATGGGATCATCTATTAGTTAACTAGGATTGCCATAATAACATATCAAAGACTAGATGGCTTATAGGGGTGTCCAATCTGTCAGCATCCCTGGGCCACACTGGAAGAAGAATTGACTTGGACCACACAGAAAATACACCAACAGTAAGGACAGCTAATGAGCAAAAAAAAAAACAAAAAAAAAAACAAAAACAACAACAATAACAAAAACATAATGTTTTAAGAAAGTTTACAAATTTGTGTTGGACCACATTCAGAGCCATCCTGGACCACTGGCTGTGGGCTGTGGGTTGGACAAGCTTGGCTTAAACAATAGACAATTATTGTCTCACAATTTTAGAGTTTAGAATTCCAAAATCAAGGTATTTGCAGGGCTTGTTTCTTCTGACAGCTCTGAGCAAAGGGCTGTTCGACTTCTCTGGTTTGTAGATGACCGTCTTCTCCTGTCTTCACGATGTCTTCTCTCTGTGTCTGTGGCCAAATGTCCTCTTCTTATGGGACATAAATCACATTGGATTAGGGCTCACTATAACGACCTCATTTTCAATTAATTACTTCTTTTAAATATCTTATTTCCAGTGACATTCTGAGGTAATGGGAGTTGGGACGTTAGCATATGAATTTTGAGGACACAAAATTAAGCCCATAACAGTTGACATTCTTGATGATCAGAAGCCATGGCCAAGACACAGCCTGGCAGAAGCACAGATAACAGCGCCCTGGAGAATATTTCCTTCTCACCTCCAGAATTCAGTATATAGGATGTGCAAAAGAGAAGCTGCAGGGCAGGACCCTACAGCAGAGATAACCAGTAAGAAAACAGCAGGACTTTCCAGTCTCCGTTCCCAGACTTCTTTCTAGACAAATACCACACTCCATGCCTACAGTCTCCTACTAAAAATGTTTTTTTTTTTTTTTGAGACAGAGTCTTGCTCTGTCACCCAGGCAGGAGTGCAATGGTATGACTTTGGCTCACTGCAACCTCTGCCACCCGGGGTCAAGTGATTCTCCTGCCTCAACCTCCCGAGTAGCTGGGATTACAGGCATACACCAACATCCCCAGCTAATTTTGTATTTTTAGTAGAGACAGGGTTTCATCATGTTGGTCAGGCTGGTCGCAAACTCCTGACCTCTGGTGATCCACATGCCTCAGCCTCCCAAAGTGCTGGGATTACAGGAGTGAGCCACAGCATCCAGCCTGATTTTTCATTTTCTAAAACTTCTTTTGTTTATTCATTCCTCTATGAATATGCAGTTCTTATATTGGCTTTATTTGCAGAATATTGCTCACTCTTTAAGATCTGTCTTAATGGCTGGCTCCTTCCAGATAGCATTCCCACACACCTGTGTGGGAATAAGTTTTTTCTCCCTTGCTCTCCTGAGGTCACCAATTATTTTTTGTTTTATAATCCTGCCATTTCCTTGCTCAGTCCACTCTGAAGACCACCGATCGCACACAGAAGATCCAAACTCCTCATCATAGCCAAAAAGACCCGAAAGATTTGGTTCCAGACAACTTATCAGATATCATATCCTTTCTCAATCTCTCTCTGTTTGCCCACTGAAGCCACGGTGGTGTTCACTTTTGTTCCACAAATATGCCAAACTTATCCCTCCTGGGTGTCCCCTCTACTCGTTTTTACTTCCCATTGTAAATTCTTTTCTCACATGATCTCATCGTGGATTCCTCTCAGTTACTCGTATCTTGGCTTAAATGGCTTCAAGTCAGAGGCAACTTTTCTGACCACCAATCTGAATTAAACTCCCAGTGTGCCTCTAATACATCAACTTCCTTGATTGGCTTTATTATGCATTATTAGTCCTTAATCATATCTTATAAATTAATAATTCATTTGTTGATTTTCTGTCACCCTCAACTGCAATGTGAACTCCAGGGGAGCAGAAACATACTGGGTTTGTTGAAGTCTCTACCAAGGCACTCAAATAGGTGCATGAAATATATTGAGAAAAATTTTTGAATAAATGAATGAATCGTTAGAAAAATGAATATAATAAATTTAATGCATGCATAGATACATGCTACGCACTCTACTTGGTACTGAAAATAGCTTTAGAGGACAGGGAGCATGCACTATTTCAAAAATAGTTTTTTTGGTTTTTTTTGAAAAATTTTTTTTTTTGTCCTTACTTTTTCCTTTAAGAAGTATCCATTGAGATGATCTGAAAGTTGGGTAAAATTTTTCCAGGTAATTATGAATAAAAGAGGAGAAAGCCATTCCATTAAGATGGAAAAGTTTATGGATACCGTGAGATGGGAGGAAAGGCTGGGTACTTGAAAGAAGGACAGAATACACTGAACTGAGAATGGGCCATTGGGCAGAGTAGGCCACAGGGCCTTAGATGAGACCATGGGACCTGGAAACAAGCCTGCAATGTAATGTTAGATACAGATAACTAAACAGACAATAAACAATGTGATGGGATGGTCAAAACAAAAGGAATCTGACACAGGTTCTAGGATGAGTGGACAAGCTGTTGGCAGTGGGATGGTCCAGGGTTGGGGGAGGCAGTGTTCAGGTGATCAGATAAGAGGAGAAAGGTGTCTGGGCAGAGTGTGATCATGTGAAACCCCCACAAATTGGGAGGGCTGTGGTTGAGAATGAAAGTTTTGTACTGTATATGGTCGAGCATGGTGTACAGTAAGTCCTCAGAAAATACCTTTTGTTCGACATTGTTTCATAGTAATGTTGATGAGACTAAAAAATGTCGAATCTGAGCCAGGGTCACCGTCTGTGCAGTTGGTGTGTTCTCCCCAGATTGGCGTGGGTTTTCCCCAAGTCTTCTGGTTTCCTCCTTCATCCCAAAGCTGTGCACATTAGGTGAATCGGTGTGTCTAAACGGTCCTGGTGTGAGTGGGTGTGGATGTGGGTGTGAGTATGCCCTACAATGGAACAGTGCCCTGTCTGGGGCGGGTTCCCGCCTTTCACCCTGAGCTGCGGGCAGGCTCCGGCTATCCACAACCCTGAACTGAAATGATTGGGTAAATAGTTACTTTATTTACATTTATTCATCTCTCTTAAATGTACATACAACTCACATGTATTTCAATGTCTAATGTAAGAAGTGTTTTGATCTTTATTTTGAAGTTTTGTGATGTTCTTGTGACCAGAAATCTGCTCCAGGAACTTACATCTTGTTTATATCAAGTAGCGTATGGTAAAACTGGTTTCATTAGATGGCATTTTGAATAAAGCTGCAGTTTCCAAGAACCTATTGATGATGTTAAGTGAGGACTTACTCTACCAGGTGGGGCAGTGGCTCTAATAAAAGCTGGAAAAACAAAGACCATCCCATGAAGAGCCTGTGAGACACAAGGTTAGTGCAAGTTTATAACTAGAATTACCTTATGCTGCTCAGCAAACACAAGGAGTACTCTGTGATGAGGCTGGAGAATTCAATTTAAGGTGTAGTGATACCCCGGATACATTCATGCGTACCTTTAATATTCCCTATCGTTAAGAAGACTCATATAATTTTGAAAGAAAATGAGACGATAATTAAACTATCAAAAGGCTACAACACAGCATCTTGCACTTCTGAAGAAATACCATTTGCAAAACAACAACAACAAAAACTCCTTTTTGCACAATTGAAGAAGCAGTTATCCTATATTTCACCCCTTCTGTCAGACCCCACGGGTATACAGGACATATGCTTTCTATCTGGTTTCAAACATGTGCTTAGATGGCAGGCATCACTTGGGGCAAGAGGAAAAATGAATTTCAAACAACACAAAAAAATGGAATAAATATCATGCTTAAAAACTGAATTTCTCCATCTGCCTCATCATATGCAGCAAAAAACTAAAGGATCCTACCACTCTTCACAGAAACATTCCTTAAAGATGTTCATTGAGAATTTTTGAACATTGATTATGTTATTTGGCTATTTATGACTGGGAAAAATATTATTAAAAGTGAGAAAATGGGAATGTTTTTAGTTATAAATTCAATTAACAAGGTGGTGGGGCTAAATGTGTTCTTTACACATGATTTATTGTATCCAAGGACCTTATGTCTGTCAAGAGTTTCAGTAGCAGCTTCCATATGGGAGGGATGTCTTGCTATGGTGTATGAAACATGAAAAGAGTCTGACAAGTTGGAAGATATATATACACACACACACATAAATATATATATGTATGAATGCATATACATATATGCCAGAAATAGATATTCATTTAAGACATTTCATTAAATCAATGTGAAGTAATTCACAGCGCAAAAAACAAATTTAGAAATATAAGAAAAAATAAACTTTAGAACATACAACCACTAAGAATGCAGTGAAATCTATGAGAAGAAATATTAACTGAGTATGACGCCCTTAATAATTGCAATGTGAGTTAGCTTTCTTGAAGTGGAAGGGGATCCATGAATTTTGACATCGGGGAAACACAGAAGAGGGGGAACATTCTATTCCTTGAAAATTCTAGAGGAAAACAGAAATATGGAACTTACTTTTTTACAAACCACTTAAACTGGTTTCTTATAGACCAGGCACTGTTCTAACTTTCAGAAATAGTGTATGCAAATATGAACTACATAATCCTTATAAACAACCCTATTAGATGCACACGATTCTTGGACCAATATTATTTCATGTTGTAGGTGAAAGAAATGGGAAATGGAGAGGTTAAGTAACTTGTCACTACTGATAAATGGCTAAGCTGAATTGGAAACTAGGCCATTCAACATGAATCCTGTGCTTGGCACTTCTACAGTTTGGTGACATATCCAACACAGCTAAGCACTGCAACCTAAACTGTCCAGGCAACCCTAAAAGGCCCAAAGGAGTCAATGCTACTTTGTTAGTAACATGGTGAATTACCCATTTAATCCTAATTTTGATGACATAAAAATTAAGAATTTTGTTGGAGGGGTTCTAAGTTTACATGTTCTAGGGAAAATGTTGCAACATAATGTAGATGGATTTTGATCTATGTCACTTTGTTATAATCTCTCCTTGGTCATTTGAAATGTGTATGACAAATTGTTTTTGTGAATTTGGAACTAGGAACCATAAGTATGTCTTTGCTTTAAAATAGCACAAAAATTCCAAATAAATCTTTCTCAGCAATTCCTTTCAAGCTTCTGCCTTGATCTTGAAAATTAATTCTGTCTTTATTTTGTTTTCGTAGCTCTCATCAAAATTTTTGCTCAGCAATCCATCAACACTGCTGTTGTCAACATAAACAATGGAATCCACGTTGTGATTCCAATCATCTGTGCTCAGTCTTGATCTTTTAAGATTCATCAGCAGCAATTGACCCAGTTGAAAGGCTTCCTTCATTTAATTTCAGAACACCACACTTCTTGTCTTCACCCTACACTGACCACTTCTTTTGCTCTTTTTATTTTTCTTCATTCCTCTGATGTTTTTCACTCCCATGCCCCCGAGCCTAGTTCTTGGATATCTATTCTCGTCTGAACTTGTTGCATTAGTAATCAAATCCTGGGTCAAGTTGAGTAAAATCATTCTATTGTGCCTGGGTCTGACTCCCAATTCTGCCACTTACCAGCTGTGTGATCTTGGAAAATATTACCTTAGACTTTTAGCGTCATTTTCTCATCTGCTAAATGAACATAATGTTAATAGTGCCTTTCTCATACAATTCTTATGAGGATTAATTAAACAACATAACACATACTAAAATCATAGAATAACGCCTGACATAGAAAGTGTGATGTGTTTGTTTAAATAAACAAATCTTAGTCAATATCATATAACATATCTACTAGGATGAACTCACCCCTGAATTTTGTATGAATATATCAAATTTCCTAGTCAACATTTCTCCTTTGTTGGCTAAAGGCAGCTCAGACTTCATTTGTTCAGTTACTGGCAAAGCTATATTCCCATTGCTCAGGCCAGATACCATGAATTCACCTTGGATCTTTCTCATTTCCTCACACTGCATATATAATACATCACCAATCATCTTGTCTCAACCTTCCTTCCTTTGCTCACCCGTTATTCTGCTGTATCTCTGTTCCCACCTAGTATCATTGCTCACCAGGTTGTTGTACTTGCCTAAAAAGGAGCTTCCTAATTCCACCCCTGGGCCTCTATAGTGCACTATCAACACATCAGCCAGAGAAGTCCTCTGAAAAGATAAAACCATCAAGGTCCTTCCAATGCCCTCAAGGCCCCACTGCCTGTCGAATCTCTTTTTTTTTTTTTTTTTTTTTTGAGATGTAATCTGGCTCTGTCACCTAGGCTGGAATGCAGTGGTGTGATCTCGGCTCACTGCAACCTCAGCCTCCGAGGTTCAAGCAATTCTCCTGCCTCAGCCTCCTAAGTGGCTGGAATTACAGACATGTGCGTCCACACCGGGATAATTTTTGTATTTTTAGTAGAGACGGGGTTTCACCATGTTGGCTGGGCTGGTCTCAAACTCCTGACCTCAAGTGATCCGCCCAACTCAGTCTCCCAAAGTGCTGGGATTACAGGGATGAGCCAGCGTGAGCCACCGTGCCCAGCTGAACCTCTTCTATAATCTTTCTCCACTCTCTACAAGTTTCCATCACACTGGCCTTCTTGTTGGTTTTTGAATAGCTCTTACCTTAGCGACTTGAAATTTGTGATTTAATTTGGAAAGCTCTTCTTCAGACACTTTCAAGCTTTGCTCCCATATCTATTCCAAGTCATTTCAAATGTTATTTTATCAGGAAGATATTCTTGAAACATATTTTCAGAATTTGCAAACTACCATTTCCCCTTCTCTGTACAACACAGAAACTTCCTGGCACTCTTCCCAGCTAATTTTCTGCATAGCATTTATCATTTTCTATAAACTTATTTATACATAATTTAAATATTATATAATTTAATAACTTGTTTGTATTCTCCTCACTAGAATGTAAACACCAACATGGTTAACAACATTTAATGATTTTTTAATAAATTTATCCACAACCCAGAGAAGAATCCTTGACACAAAATAATATAGAGACAATTTTCAACACCATATTTGAGTAAATTAATCCACGAGTCTATAATCCATCCCCCTACTGATATTTTATATAAACTAGGGATAAAATTATTAAGGAGAAAAAATGAAAGGGGCAAAGTGAATTCTTATTTTTCTCTCTGTCACCCAGAATATGTCACCCAAATATGTCTGTTTACAAACATATTTGAAATACAAAAGCATTTAAGAATGCCAAAAATATACATATGATATATAATATTATTTCTCAAATCTAGTCTGCCAATGTTTAAGTCTTTTTTAGTTGTAGTTTTAATTGACACGTAATAATTGTATAAGTTTACAGGGTATAATATGATGGTGAGACACATGCATGCATTATATAATGATTAAATCAAACTAATTATTTTCATTTAATAATTATTACTAAAAATAATTTATATAATTTATATAAGTAGACATAGATACAAATAGTGTGCTCTTCTTTTTCTTTTTCTGTTTCTTTTTTTTTTTTTTTTTTTTGTGACGTAGTCTTGCCCTGACACCCAGACTGGAGTGAAGTGGCATGATCTTGGCTCACTGCAACCTCTGTCTCCCCCGTTCAAGTGATTCTCCTGCCTCAGCCTCTCAAGTACCGGGGATTACAGGCACCTGCTACCATACCCGGCTAATTTTTTTTTTTTTTGGATTTTTAGTAGGGACAGGGTTTCACCATTTTGGCCAGTGCTGGTTTTGAACTCCTGACCTCAAGTGATCCGCCTGTCTTGGCCTCCCAAAGTGCTAGGATTATAGGCATGACCCACCGTGCTCAGCCCAGTGTGATCTTCTTAAAAGGTAGTTTTACTATTTTTAGCAGATTCTGAAATATCCACGAATGTGTGGTTAAATGACAAAGGTTATTATGTAGTCAAGAAAAGTGATTTATTCTACTTTTAGTTCAAAGATAAAATGTACATTTCCCCATATATTTATCTTAGTAATCAGTCTTAGTTTACATGGCAGAAAAGTCTAGCTGGGTACCTAAAGTTCTGTATCTACCTTCTCTAGAATGGTTCCTGGGGAATGCAGCACAGTCTTGTTAGAAAACAGGTCAAGAAAAACGAAGTGCAATGCTATACAATGTAACAAAGTTGATATACTTTGAAATCATTATATGAGCTTGTGTCAAAGAATACATACTTAATCCCCATTCCAGAGGAAGAAAAAGTGGTAGCAGAAAAAGATATTTGAACTAGAGGAGCATATTATTGCCTGCTAAATGGAAAAGATGGTTATTCGTCCCTAGTATGGGGTGTAGAATAGGGTATACCCAGTGTAGAAGTAGCCCAAATTACAGTATCTGGCATGTTATTCTGGCTGTTTTCAAAGATAAGGCAGTGTGACTTTCTCAAAAGTCAGATGAAATCATTTAAAAATATGAACGAAAATATATTCCAATGCCAAATATATATAAAAAATTATCTGCCACACTGGCCACACTACAGTTCTCCTTAACTAAAATAGATAATTATGTACTGACTACCTAAAAATAATCATTGCCAGGGGATATTTATATTAAACTGCAGAATCAGAAACTGAATCTGTTTGTATCTCCTTAACAGGCTCATGATCGTCCTTGAATAACTGATTTTTTTTATTTCCTGCACTGTCTTGGCATTCTTATAAAATTGGCAAATTTAGTTGTATCATGAACCTGATTTAAAAGAATACTGGGGAAATTAACAGATTAGCCTTTTTCAAAAGCTTTAAAATTTGATTAAAGTTTCTATCTTCAACACAAAATGAAACTTGCCTCACTGTGTATGAATTACTCATTTGAATCCAAAGACCTTTGATTAGGATAATTTTTCAAATATAAACAATTAGTAACAGACCATTTATTTACTAAATGTTATAGGAGAGAGCCAGCTGTCTCTATTTCCCTTCCTTGATTATTTGAAGTTAGAATTTTCTCATGACATTTAGCCATTTATAAATGTTCAGTTAAACATGACAGTTGTTATGGATTGGATATTTGTAAGGTCATTTTTCATAGACTGCCCCAGAAGAAACATATTTCAATCAAAGCAAATGATAAGCATTTCCATATAATTTGACTCCACTTTTACTATGGCCCAGAAACATATCTTATCACTTCCTCAATTTAATTTGATATGGAAAGGGCCTCTTTTTAATCAACTTTAAAATTATGTTCTGTTGACTTGCAAATGACAGGTCAATGCTAATTGAGAGAGGCCTTAAAAACTCTGACATCTTTGATTGCTGCACAAAGATTCCATGCTCAGTATGTTCTGATACTTGGCTTTTCCATATTCCCTTACGAGGTTAAGAAGATGAATGCTCATTGGTTTTAATCCTTACCATGATTTATGAGCCTCTTGGTATCCTTTCCCCAGAGCATCTACAACTGTGTGGTTGTTCTGCCTGCTGCTTAAATTACACAGACATCTGCAAACTAAATTATGGATTGTTGTCCCATAGACCATAACCAAGAATTCTCTTCATCACTCCTGCAGTATAATTTTTTTTTTCTGATTAGGACAAAAAACATGTATGTATTTCCTTGCTTCTGTACTAAGGGCATTTTAAGCTAATTTGAATGATAGCACAATAACCTGCATTGTGACCTATCACAAAAAATCAAAGCAGCATGAAATATAACAAGGTAGCTTTAAAGGCAGAAAGAAAAAAAAAAGATCCTCTATTTATTTATATCTTTCATCTTTATTTAAGGCATTGAATATTTAGACTCACAGAAGGAAAGTGACCTTTAAGATTAACTGAAAATATGCACCATGGAATAAAATGCATGTAAATGACCTTTGTGTCTCTTGAGTGTGATTTTAAGAGCATCGTGTGATCTGATCTATGACTATTTAAATTAAACACAAAGCAAAGAAATAGAAAATTACATAAAGGATAATTCATGGAAGACTGGGATACCTTTTTTAATGTACTCTTTTCTGCTGGTCTCACTTGTAGTAAACCTGTTTTAATAATCTGAAGGCTTGAAGCAATCATGAGTAATTGGAATAACTCTTTCGTCTGAATTAAAAGTCTGGTAGAGTCTACTTTGGAATAATCAACTGTTTCTGTATTTTTCCTTTCTTTTCTCTCCTTGTTATTCTGTGTAGATGATGAATCATAATTCCCAATGACAAGTCCATTGTGAAATCCTAACAGGCGTGTCTCAAATTATTAACCTTTGACAATTACCAAAATTAGAAATATCCCTGCATTTATCTTCTTCAGATGTGCTAATTGCAACTCTAACAATAACCTGCCAGGGAATATCACATGAACAAAATTTACCAAATGATTTTTAGTTATGCCTTACAAAGTATATTAAAAAAAAAAAAAAACAGATGGCTCTGCAATTCATTTTTTGAACCCTATTGTCAACTCAGCAGGACACAGTGAACACTAAAGAAAGACTCAAATCCACTCCTGGCTGAGCAGATCTGCTGTTCCCTCCATGTTTCCATCAGTTTCTGTTTCACCTCATCACTGCTGAAAGGCAATGTTTTCTGAGTGTCAGGACCTGATATTCATACCAATGCCCTAAAGACTTGCTTTTTAAAAGGCAGATCCTAGATTTGTTTGCCTCTGTGTCAGTGAAAAGCTCACTTCCAAAACTTTCCATTTGTCGACACTCTTTGCATCCTCATCTTCATAAAATAAAGGATTAGTGGAATCTTGATAGTTGATATGGTTTGGCTTGTGTCCCCATCCAAATTTCATCTTGAGTTGTAGTTCCTATAACTCCCACATGTTGTAGGAGGCACCCAGTGGGAGGTAATTGAATCATGGGGTGGGTCTTTCCCATGCTGTTGTTATGATAATGAATAAGTCTCATGAGATCTGGTGGTTTTATAAAGGGATATTCCCCTGAATATACTCTCTTGCCTGCTGCCATGTAAGATGTGCCTTTGCTCCTCCTTTGCCTTTCACCATGATGGTGCAGCCTCCCCAGCCATGTGGAACTGTGAGTCCATTAAACCTCTTTTTCTTTATAAACTACCCAGTCTCAGGTACGTCTTTATTAGCAGCGTGAGAACACACTAATACATTAGTTAAAACCCTAAACTATTTAAACATATCTTGAAATAAATTATTTTTGAATAATTATTTAATTTCCTAAGAAATTATACAGGATAGATGGAAATAGAATTAAATTGGTGCTCCCAAAAGATCTGATATATATATAATCTCCCAGTCTATTGCCAGCAGTCATCTTTACACACACACACACGCACACACAGACACACACACACAAAACCTCCACATCAGGTTATTCTTCTACATTCAAAAGCAAACCGACTAAAACAACAAAACACAGCTCCACATCCTATAAAAGATAAAGCCCCAATCCCAGACATATTTTTCATTTCATTAAAGTTTCTTCATCATCTAAGCCTATTCTTCTGGATTTATCTGCCAGCTATTCCCATATTTGACACACATTTCATTCTCTAACTCCTCAAATGGTTTTAAATTCACCACATATGAAATGATATCATATATCTTTGTGCCTTTTATACATCTATATCCTCTTCTTTACATATTTTTATCTATTTCTCTTTATAGTCTAGTTCAAATGTCCTTTGGCTGCATTTTTCCTACTCTTTCCAACTACTACAGGAAGAAAAAAAATGCCAACTTCAACCATATTTTTCATACTGGAACAAGAAGGTATTCTATAAATGATCAAAGAATGCTCATCTAACCATATGAAAGAAGAAAGATTTATTTCCTTTCTCTTTCCCTTTACTTTTTTGCATGATTTATAATAAATTCATACAATTACTTAAGTAAACATGAATATAAGTGAGAAATGAATAGAATGAGAGTAAGTTTTGCAAAATGTTAAAGAAATAATACACTGCCCTATGTGATTGTTGAAAAAGAAAATTATAAAAGGGGGTGGTAACATCATAAACAGGCTCCACAGCATTACTCTATTAAAAGTTAAATTGATAAAAGAAAACTGTCTTTCTTAATAAAGAAATGTTAATAATCAGTTAGTATGGCTTGAAATCTATATATTCATTGTTCTTGATTATCACTCTCTATTTTGTTATAGCATTCCACTGAGATTATTCTCAGCTGTATTTGCTTATGTGGCATTTATGAAAATCCTCATATTAAAAAGAAAATAATTTCAAGCCATTCTCCTCAAATGCATTCTGCATCAATATGAATTCCACTCTAATTAAAAACAAATGAACATGCCAATTTCTTTAAATTAATCCTTTCTCAAATTATTATCTTTAAAGTAGTTGTATGTTAAATAAATATCAAACTATTTTTATTTCTTCTTATCGTTGTACATAGCACAGAGTGAACCAAAGGACATTTGGGAGGAGTATGAGTCTCTTCTCATTTATCTGGGCCTTTGGATGTTTTAATGCTCTGTTATGCTTTAAAGAAAAGGAGAGAAAGTGCTGCATTTATCATTGGAATGGCTTAGTATCAATTATTCATTATTCATATTTGCATCACAGATAATACTGAGGTTGATATAATCATGGATATTTAAGAATATGGAGTTGCCTTTTATAGGAATTAAATTCAAAGTGTTCACTTCTCTTATTCTATAAATAAAAGATCTGGACTGAAACCCCAAACCAAAATTATCCAAGATCAGAGATTTAGAAATTAATTAAAATTTTCTACAAAAAATGCAAAAATTTCACAAAGAAAAGGTAAGCAATTTTCTACATAGAAATTTTGAATATTGATGAGAACAAATTACTAGATAAAAGAGATGACCATGGGGGGAGAGGAATTATTAATAGTTGAGATATTAAATGGTTCATTCTATTTCAATCTTACCATCTTACATTGTTAATCTAAAATTTGTATTTTTTTCCTCAAATCTGATAGCTGAAATTAATTGATAATGTTTTAAAACTACACTAAAGCCTAACCTTTACTGAATAAGCTAATCTCATAAAAGGATAATGAGAAAGAAAAAGAAAAGGCTTCATCTTTCTACTTCAGAAATATGGGCATGCACAGAGAGTTTGAAAACCATCACAGGAAGATTCATAAAGCCACATTAGTTTAATTACACATCTGCCTTATCTCTTCAACCTTGTCTTTCTGAGTTGTTATATCAATGGTTAATCTTAACTGATCTCTGATTAGAACTGAGAATATAAAGCTTGTTTTGACTACAGCCTAAGTAAGGGTAGATTCTCCCATTACCAAGCGGGGAGTGTCAAAGCAGCACTTTAATTACTATGTCTGTGAAGGTTAACTGTAACTGTCTAAATCTCAGTGTTTAGATTCCTACCATCAGCAAAGGAAAAGCAGATTACAATTGCCAGCGCAAGAAACAATTGAACCAGTTTGTGCCATATCAATATTCGTAAAGAAGAGAAAATTTATGACTTTATCTCTGTTTCCTATGTGAGAGTTTCAACAGAGGTTTCCCTTTGAAATGAGACGTATCCAATTTAACAAAAATAATACCCGCTAATTATGAGGGACTAGACAAAGCATCATAAAAAAACAGAATAAAAAAGGCAGAAATCACTTTCTGTTTTTAGGAGGAACATAGTCATTAGATCCTCTCAAATTGGCATGTAAAATGAAACTGTGAGGAAAAATAAAACAAAGAAGCTAAAAAATAAATAATTATAAAAATAAAGAATCCTATATTCTAAAAAATGTAGAAATAACTGGTTACTTCAAGTTTCATGATTTTGTTGTGTTTATGTCAACTCCTTGTAAATATACAAATATTTGAATATTTTGATTTCTAATAAATTTTTTTAAGTAAAGAAGTTTTAAATAGGATTTGCATTTTCAGGTATTAATTAAGAAGGTAAAAGCATATATCTTGATAAGATTTTTTTTACCTACCTTTAAAAAGGCTGGCATTCTTTAAAACTCCCAACTGCTCCTGGGTTCCAGCTTGTCTATATTTCCCAAAAGAGCCAAGCTGTTAGGTAACAAAGCTGGAAAGACAAACATATACAGTCAGAATGTTAACTATCTTTTCTAATAAACATTTATTTTAGAATATTTTTACATTTTCTTAAAAGTTGCAAAGATGGTATAGAGAGTTCCTGTATACCTCACACCTGATTATCACTATTGCTAATATCTTACATTATAAGTGCATTTCTCAATGTACTTTTGATGTATGTACAATGTACTTACAATGCTGCTTTTGATACATTGTGATATATAGTGATACATTGTGATAGATGGATCCAAATGAACCAATATTGATACATTATTGAGTTCACTAGTTTTTCTCCTAATGTCATTTTCTATTCCAGGATATCACATTGCCTTGTCATTATGTCCCCTTGGCCTCCTCATGGCAGTGATAGTTTCTTAGACTTTCCTTGTTTTTGATGACCTTGAACGTTTTGAAAAGCAATGGTCAGACATTTATAAAATGTCCTTCAGTTGCAATTTGGCTGATGTATTTCTCATGATTAGACTGGGGTTATGGTTTTTTGGGAGGAGGACCATAAAGTATCATTTTTGTCACTTCATATCAAGGGTATGTGTGTCATCAGTATGACTTATTACTGTTGACACAGATCTTGATCAGCTGACTGGAGTACTTATTACTGTTGAGACAGATCTTGGTCAGCCGACTGGAGTCCTTATTGCTGTTGATGCAGATCTTGATCAGCTGACTGGGGTACTTATTTCTGTTTACACAGATTTTGATCAGCTGACTGGGGTACTGTTTGCCACCGTTTCGTACTATAAAGTTCCTTTTGTTCCTCCTTTCCATACTGTACTGTTTGAAAGCAAGTCAATAAAAGCAGCCCACAGTCAAGGGATACAGAGTTAAGCTCCATTTGCTGGAGGGGAAAATGACACAAATTATTTGAAATTTTCTGAGAGAAATTTACCTATTCTCCCCATTTGTTTGTTTCCTTGTTTGTGTATTCATTTATTCATTCAGTAATTTATATGTATCAGTGTAATCTCATGGATATTTATTTTGTATTTCATGTTATAATACAATACTACACTGTTTATTTTGTTGGTCTAATTGTTTTAGCTTTGGACTTCGTGAGCTCTTTCAATTAGCCTCTATGTCTTTTTTGACATACCATATTGGTTGGTTTAGTGAGTACTTCCTTAAGTCCTGGCATGATAAGATAGTCCATGTTAATTTAAAAATGCATACTATAAATGTTATAATCTTCTTGCCTCAGACCTAGACTCAGCCTTTTTTTTTCAAGGATCTCTGGTTCTTTTTATCAGAGAATGGTGAGAAACCAAGATCTGACTACTAGTTATGGTTCCTTGCCACTGGGGTGCCATTACTTCTAAGCCCTCTCAGTGAAGTGAGCTGGGAAATTTATGTATTTATATTAATGTGTATATGCAGACATCCATAATTGTCTCTATATCTATCAATCTGTATCTATAATTAGATAACATTATTTCATACTGATAACTTCAACTCCAGCTTCATATTATTAACTTCAGGCTGATACCTTCAACTTCCTTAATCTATATTAAATAAACAGCATTTTGGGTGCAATAGAGTATATATTAAAACCACATTTTTCATTTCTTTATGAAATGCTCCTCTCTCAGTAATATATCAAGAGTGATTCTTATAAAGATGTCCACACAAGTGGACATGTTTATGATGCCTGATTCTGAAGAATCATTAAGAAAGCCCATGGACATTTATTTTCATTCGTTTCTACTAAAGTTCATTACGCTTGAAAAAGAAAAGCAGCTTTTAATACCGTGTGCATACAACCACAGCTACCTGATGGTTTTTTCACCAAATGCCATAGACTGCAACAATAAAAAGGACTTGAGGAGATATATACTGCTTTATAAGATCTAATATATTTTCTTCTATTGAGGCAACCTATTACTATGACCATGTTTTCATATAATTCATTTTTAAGACAAAAAGTCTGAGTTAGCTCAATTATACCTATGCAAAAAATGTAATTTTTAATGAAATTATAAAATAATTATAATTAATGTACATGTTAATCATTACAGCTAAATAGTAGTCAGAATATATAAATGTTTAACATTTTTATTATAAAAGTTTAGTAGAAAATACAGATAGTAACAAGGTAGACTAATAATCCAGATGGGATAACTTATTTTCTGAAAGTAAAAACACCAACTCATTTTATCATTCTGTTATTCTGATAACTAATAAAGGCTTCCCTGTCAAACAAAATCTTTAGGTTTAAAAAACATTAAAGTGAGACATAAACTTCCAAGAAATTCTAAGCCATTTCATTCCCTTCATCTATATTAGATATTTTGGTTAGAATGTAATAACATCTGTATCAGTTTCCTGTGGCTGTGACAAGTAATTACCATAAATGTAGTAGCTTAAAGCAACAGAAACTTATCCTCTCACAGTTTTGGAGGTCAGAATTCTGAAATCAATAAAAGATTGAGATGAAATCAAGGTGTCACGGTGCTGCCATCCCTTCAGAGGGTCTAGGGGAAAATCCATTTCTCGCCTCTTCCAGCTTCTGGTGACTGCCATCGTGCCTTGCCTTGTGGCCACTTTCAGTATTCAAGGCTAACATCCTCAAATTTCTTCCTCCTCCTTTACATTGCCTTTTCCTCTGTGTATTCAAATCTTCTGCCTCTCATTTTTAAGAATGCATGTGTTTATAATTTGGGCCTATTCAGCTAATACAGGATAATCTCCTCGTTTTAAGATCCTTTATTTAATCACAGCTGCAAAGACCCTTTCTTGTCATATAGGTTAACATTCAAAGGTTCTATGAATTAGAACATGGCTGTCTTTGGGAAGTCATTTTCCAGCCTACCATAGATCATGAGGATTAAGCTCTGAATTTTTTATCTTGCCCAAATTCCTATCTAAGGGGTCTGGAGAGTCATCCCCTACAAACCATCAATTCTCAACAGATGGGTTTTATTTAACCTTGTATATGGTGACTTACTTTGCAACCTGACTCAGGCATCACATTAGGAGACAAGGAAGAAAATCAAAATATTTTACCCCAAAACATGTTTCTTTGCCATATGTTGAACTGGCCCTGCAAAGCTGTCCTTCCTGGTGAACAATTTGCATCTGTAAAGAATTTCTATTAACATAGGTAGATCTTTTTCTTCCAGGCCTTCCCAATCCTAAAGAGGTTAACTAAAAGTCTAGCACCTTTTAAAGATCTGAATAGGAAGCATTTGTCATCTGTTGTCTCTAAGGGCAGCCACTATAAGACCTCAAAAGAACCTTGGTCTCCACAATCTTTGATCTTAACTTGAACATTTCCTTTCTATGAATCCCAGGTCTTTAGACAAACTCAACTAATAGTCAACCAGAAAATGTTTAAATTTACCTACAGCCTGGAAACCACCCCCTCCCGCCCCACAGCTTTGAGTTGTGCCACCTTTCTGGAGCAAACCAATGTATGTCTTACATGTATTTGATTGATGTCTCATGCCTCCCTGAAATGTATAAAACCAAGCTGTACCCCGACAACCTTGGGCACATAGTCTCAGGACTTCCTGAGGGTTGTGTCACAGGCCATGGTCACTCACATTTGGCTCAGAATAAATCTCTTCAAATATTTTACAAATATTTTCATTGATAACCAACTTATAGATCTACTTCCTATCCGCTTCCATAGGGGAGAAAAAAATTACTCTAATAAAACAACTTCCTCATGACTCTATCTCACTACAAGACAGTGTGTATGGCTAAGGCAGCAGAAATATATACACACAATGAAAGGGTGTTTTAAAATATTGTTTAAGACAACCTAGGACAGGCATATAATTAACTTGCTTAGAGAGATGGATAGATGTTACTTAATAATGAAACTCTAATAACTATTTCTTTCCCTTCAGACTAGGACTACTGATAACCTGCAATTATGTGTGACAAGCTGAACAAAACCACAGAACCAGAGTGTCAGACTATGGCTACATAATTTTTAGAAAGAGCTTAATTAAGCAAATCTCATAAAAGTTTTTAAAGGAAATATTTTCTAAAGTCAAAAGCAAACTACATTCATAAAGTGTGATTACTGGTACAGTACACCTTTCAGTGACATTAACTTTCAGGGGACCTTGACAGGAAGAAAAAATAAATCTCAAGCTACTAGCAATAAAGTCAGAGGAGTGGTAACTGATGATCCAGGAAATTTTCACAGAAAAATAAGGGTATGAATGGCTTCCATAAGGCTTCAATTACCAACGTTGTTAATGAAATTCAGGCATCTTGGGTCGCTTGAAGGAAGGAACTAATAATGAGCTGCTTACATGCAACTAGTTTGTAGAATGAGTAGTCCCATCATGGAATGGGAATTAGAAGAAAAAGAAACAAACACAAAAATCTTCTGTCCACTAGTATTGGGAAGCTGCACAAATACCAGCTGTTCAAGACTGGCCATAGATAGAAAGAGGTTAACCTTGAGAAGCAGAGGGCAAGCTTGAGCCTGATGTGTGTAAACTCCAGATTTGCCCAAATATATAATATGGTGGATGCAACCCAGAGTAGTAATATAAAGCATGGTATAGCACTGGAGAATCAGTAGGACCTCAGCAGAGCAAGTACCAAAATATCTTGAAGAGATTCTTTCACAACGTAAGACCCTAGATTCCATAACAAGGAAAAAATTTAAAAAAAAAAATGTGAGAGAACACAATACACCCTCAATGAAACTCAGTGGAGCGATAAAGAGAAAATTTATTTCTTAAGAACTAATAATAATAGAATAATCTGTAATAGACACATAATACACATTTAAAGCCTTCAGAGAAAATGGAAGGAATGTAAACTATAAGAAGAGCATGTCAAACACATAACAAACAAATTTGACCAAAAATGCTTTCTCTCTATATATTACTCTAGAGGTGGTCCTATGGGCCACCCATAGCTAATCCTAATATTCATTTGAAAGAACAAAACCCAAGAAGTTAATAGACTTTGTTGGAAACATAAAATTACCCTATCCGATATAAAAAAATTGTTATAAAAATATGGAAAAAAAACGTATGTTATTGGCATAGAGTCTAAATGATACATATAAATATGTACGAACGTTTCACTTAAATCAGTGGGAAAAGAACAGACTTTTAAATAAGTGGAATAGGAAAAACCCACCATGCAGATGCACAAAATCAAAGTACAGTCATCCTTAGGCAGCCACAAGGGATTGGTTCCAGGACCCTCCTAGGTATCAAGAGCCACAGACGCTCAAGTCTTTTATGTAAAAAGGAATATTATTTGCATATAACCTATGCACATCTCCTGTATTCTTTAAATCATCTCTAGATTACTTATAATAATTGCTATGTCATATTGATATTAATTTGTATTATTTTTCATTGTTATAATTATTTTTCTAATTATGTTCAATCTATGGTTGGTTGAATCCAAAAACATACGCTCCACAAATACATAAGGCTGGTTACAGGTTTCTTTAATTATATCATACATAAAAAATAACTTTCAGATGCATGAAAGAGAAACAGTTTAAAAGTCAAGAACATATATAATTTTTTTTTTTTTTTCCGAGACAGAGTTTTGCTCTTGTCGCCTAGACTGGAGTGCAAGGGCATGGTCTCAGCTCACTGCAACCTCCACCTCCTGGGTTCAAGCAATTCTCCTGCCTCAGCCTCCTAAGTAGCTGGGATTACAGACACCCACCACCATGCTCAGCTAATTTTTGTATTTTTAGTACAGACAGGGTTTCACCATGTTGGCCAAACTGATCTTGAACTCCTGACCTCAAGTGATCTACCTGCCTCGGCCTCCCAAAGTGCTGGGATTAGAGGCGTGAGCCACCATGGCTGGCCAACATATATAATTTTTATGAAATAGGAAAAGCTTTCTTTAAACAAATATTGAAAACACAAAATTTGAATTAAAATTAAAATCATATATTTAAAGCTAAACTTGCAAAGAAAAGAAAAGCTATGTCATTGACTATGAGAAAATATTTCCAATCATGGAACATAATTTAGTGTAAAGATAATATTAAGAATGTCAACAATCAATAAAGTATTGAATTTGGAAATCTATAAATGGAATATTTACAAAAAGAAAAAAACAGGACTTCTAAAAAGCATATAAAAATGATTCCACAGCCATTATCAGAGAAATCCAAAAAAAGCACAATAATAACACATAATTTCTCATTGAATTAGTTGGCAAAAAAGATAATAAAGATAATGTCTGAAATTATCAATAATTGGCAAGGATGTGGAGTGATGGAAGCTCTCAATCATATCGTGGGTTGGTAATCCACATGGACACAACTGCTTTGAAGAACCATTTGGAATATCTACTAAAAGTGAAATGCAGGTAACCTGGACCGCAGGAATTCTGCTCCTATATGCATGTCTAAACAAAGTCTTGCCCGTGTTTATAAGATGTTAACTATAGCTTTGTTCAAATTCCTAAAAACACTGGCATTTTTGAAAAGCATTTCAGTTATGACAATCAAAAAATAAGTAATTGCTTACATAATTATTTCAACTAATGAATTCATGAAAATGGTCTTATAACTCATTGGAAAATATTTGTAACTATGATTGTGTGTGTGTGTGTGTGTGTGTGTACATTCAATTATATATATGGGGTTTGTGTGTGTTTGTTGAGCATGTGTGATGTTAGAAAAGGTAGTTCAAGGTTTGCTTTATTATATCATAGTTACAATTAAGAATATCATACCTAACACCCAAGGGGAACAATCACAAAATCACGTCAGTATTACTAAGATGAGTTATAGATACATAAGTATTAGAAAATACAGTGAGCCAGAGTCACGAACTTTAATAAAAGACAACACGAGGGCAACAAAAGACTATATTAAGTGAAGGCTGTTAGCTTACAAAGTGATAAGAGTAGAGATTCATTTTATCAGTAAAGAGGATATATTAAAGAATTAGATACACTTGCTTTGTGTTCTTCTACCTGATTCTGGCATAAAGATAAATCCTCTTGTAATTAGCTAAGCTACTTCACTGTGGGGTGGTGGTAAAAAAAGCACAGCAATGAAAATAAATGACACCAGAAAAATGTAAGCTGAGAGACATGTCAAAAAAATCAGGTAGTAGTTGTGCTTCAACAAGACCCAGGGCACTAGTTTGGGGTAAGTACAGTCTGCAAGAGCACAATTCATGAGGTCATTTCAGCTAACCTAAGAAAACCCAAGACTAATATCAGCTGAGGACATGTGGTTATCAATAGTGGGGTAACAGAATTCCTTGTAAGAAGCTGCAACTTGGGCATAGACATACATCTTGTTTCCAATGCCCCTACGATAATGAAAAGGATTTTAAAAGGAGGTGAAGTCTGTACTAATGCAGGAAAGTAAGGAATGGAATCAGAGAAATTGCTGCTAAATGTGTGAGATGTTACTAACATCAAAAATAATCCCTGCTGGGAGTGGTGGCTCACACCTGTATTCCCAACACTTTGGGAGGCCTAGTCGGGTGGATCATCTGAGTTCGGAGTTCAAGACTAGCCTGGTCAACGTGGCAAAACCCCATCTCTACTAAAAATACAAAAAGTTAGCTGGGTGTGGTGGCAGGTGCCGGTAACCCAGGAGGGTTGAACCCAGGAGGCGGAGGTTGCAGTGAGCCGAGATCCCGCCACTGCAGTCCAGACTGGACAACAGGGCGAGACGCTGTCTAAAAAGATAATAATAATAATAATCCCAAGATCCCTGTAATAATTTTATTTAAAAAACACCATGTTATAAAAGAAAATAGAATAATCCCAGTAAAATCCCACTGATATCTCTTGAAATTAGAAGACTGAGGAACTGAAGTGCATCTGTGGTGCACGGTACTTAGAATTCCTTCAAAGGCAAAAGCAACCACACTGTGAGGTCCACCACCAACAACAAACAAACTAAAGGGGATATCTGCAGATGGCCAAGTTTTCTCCTGATACAGCTGAGCATTACTATACTAGAAAAGGAAGACCAACAACATAGAAAGCCAGGTGTGGAAAGTTGACAACAGGTTCAAAAAAAAAAAAATGTATTGACAGCTTTTCTCCCACAAGCACTCTCCAGGCCCTTAGTGTCTCCCAGCTTTCACTGAATAATGAACATGAAATGAGCATCATACTCACCAGCTTTCTAACTTCAGATTCTACAGCATCTGAGTATCTTCTACGTATCAAAGAAGGTTATACAGACCTTTGCAATGTATTTTAGACTTGGTTTGCTATCTTTGTATTCAAAATACCATGGGAGTCCTGGGCTAAAATTTGCAATATAGAAGGATGTTATAGAGTACTTAGAATGCACAACACAGGCCAGGCATGGTGGCTCACGCCTGTAATCCCAGCACTTTGGGAGACTGAGGCAGGTGAATCATGAGGTCAGGAGTTTGAGACCAGTCTAGCCAACACGGTGAAACCCCATCTCTACTAAAAATACAAAAAAATTAGCTGGGCTTGGTGGTGGGTGCCTGTAATCCCAGCTACTTAGGAGGTTGAGGTAAGAGAATTGCTTGAACCTGGGAGGCAGAGGTTGCAGTGAGCTGAGATCCTGCCACTGCACTCCAGCCCGGGGCCACATTGTGAGACTCCGTGTCAGGAAAAAAAAAAAAAAAAAATGCACAACACATTACGAAAAATAATGTTTGAAAGAAAGTAGATACATTTTTAAGTAATATAAGTATAATACAATTATTTTATAATAATAAAATGATAGCAATATTATTACTAATTAGTAATTTTCTCATGGTAAAATTAGAGACTATGGGTCAAATGAATTAAAATATGAAAGATAAGTTGTCAAAACACAGAGTAAGATAAAAATATGTCTGCCTGAAGTCGGTCAATTGACAGTATCATAACCTTTAAAATCACACTGAAGATTCCAGATAAAATAGAAAATTAGAAAAGTCACCAAAATACATGAACATTATTAATTGAAAAAAATACACAGAAACACATAAACATATTTTTAAGTGAATGGTTGAATATGAAAGAAAGTAAAAGAGATGTTCTAAAATGTGCAGCAAAGCTGAAAGACAAGCACAGGGAGGAGAGTGCTATAGATCAAGTGACTCATTTAGCATCTATGAAGCTGGCACAGGTTGAAGGTGGATTGGAGAAAACCAGAAATAACCAGATCCCAGGAAGCCTATACACTTAAAAAAAAAAAAGTATCTCCTAAATTAGAAAACAAGTAAAGTTTATTGTTGCTTCTAGAGAATTTTGTTAAAGACAAATATCTGTTCTGAGGATGTATGGCCTGGCAGGCTCTTATCTGAGTTTGAGAATTTAATTTACATTATTTGTTTGGTTCAAAATCAATCCTTACATCAGGATTTGAATTTAAAGTGGATTGGGTGTGCAGTGCCTTCCAGATGAACATAATCATCCCCTTAGAAAATAACTCACAACTCACACCACAAAGATATTTTCAAGGTTGAGTCTTAAATCACAAAACACAAAGGATATCTGATATAGTTCACTAAGATAAGAAGAACAAGAAATAACAAAGACATTAAAAAGGAAGAACCCTACCTGACATTATTTAGAGATGTGATTATGTTTTACTTTAAAAATTCAAAGGATCATCTACCAAAGATATGCAATTAATAAGAGATTTTAGCAAAATTTCTGAACAATGTTTAAATAATTGCATTTTAATAACTGTTTTAATAATTGCATTTTAATAATTATCTCCTTGCAACAGGAGATAAAGGTATAATTTTAAAATCACTTACCTTACCAATATTCATTATATGTATCAAGAAATAAATTTAAGAAAAGGATATAATACTTTTAGTGATGCAATTGTAAAACTTGATTGATAACTATTAAATAAGAACTAAATAAGTGGGAAGACATATCCTGTCATTGAATCGGATTTAAGTATATACCAATTCAAAGAATTCCAGGTAAAAGGAATTCAGATATTTTTCCCCATGGAACTTGTAAAGCTGATAGTGAATGTCATGAAAGAACAAAGGATTAGAATAGCTAAGACATTAATAATAAATAAGTACAAGGGAGATGGTATTGTCCTGCTCAATAATAAACCAAAATATATTGATTAAAACAGTGAGACGTGAAGTATAGGAAAGAAATATTGATCAATGAATGTGATATTTTAAATTCTACATAAATACATAATTCTACATAGTTGACATTTTTAATTCTTCATGATGCTTAAGTATTTCCCATTATTTATAATTATTTAGAAATGGAAGGGAGAGCCTTGAAACACACACATACACAAACTCACACTGAAAACCTAATATACAGCAAAGCTGATGTGAAAAATAACAGGGAATCATAGACTATTTGATATGTAGTAATGAGAAATTTGATGATCTCTAATTAAAAATTTTTATATCCCTACCTCACTCTACATACAAAAGGCAATTCTATGTAGACTAAGCAATTAAATGTGAAAGATCAAAGTGTAAGACTGTTGATACAAAATATAGTAAAATATTTTTATCAACTTGGAGTAGAAAATGTTAGAAAAGTACTAAAAAATTCTACCCATACAAAGACAGGCTTGTAAATTTCTATACAACATATAAAAACTTTATAGGACAAATAATTATTATCCTGATCATATGAAGCAATTGTACAATACAATTAAGAAAAAATAACCTTATAAAAATGGTTGAAACTCATTAAACTGTTATTTAAAAAATAACATACACATGACTTAAACCCCATTTAATGATGCCCAAACTGATTAGTAAAGAAAGCAATGCACTATGTCGTAAAACTAAGGACATAATGAGATACTATGAACATAAACTAAGATGGCAAGATAAAATGTCACAAATGGCCAATGTTGAGAATGTGGCAAACAATTGAATATTCATATAATACTGACAAAAATATAAATTAGTACAGCCCTCCAATACAAATAATTTGTCACTATGTATAAATAATTCTAATTACAGATTTTAAAAATGGAATATAAATACCATTTATAATTTCTGAAAGAAATAAATGGCTCTATTAAATCAAGAAAATCCAAGGAGTAGTAAAATAAAATTATGAAAACATAAGGTTTTTATTTTTCATTTTTATTAAGAAGCTAATTGCTATAATCTATTGATATTGGTAGTTATAAAGTTCTATGTCTGTAATAATAAACACACAATATAATGTTAATAAAAGTGGCTGGGTGCAGTGGGTCACACCTGTAATCCCAGCATTTTAGGAGGCTGAGGTGGGTGGATCGCTTGTGTCCAGGAGTTCGAGACCAGCCTGGGCAACATGGCGAAACCTTGTCTCCACAAAAAATACAAAAATTAGCAGGGCATGGTGATGCATGCCGGCAGCCCCAGCTACTAGCGAGACTGGAGTGGGAGGATGACTTGAGCCCGGGAAGTTGAGGCTGCAGTGAGCCATGATGGTGCCACTGCACTCTAGCCTGAGGGACAGAGCGAGACCTTGTTTCAAAATAAAAATTATAAGTAAAATTGTGGCATATTAATTATATCAACTAGAAAAAAATGAAAAAAGAAAAACAGTATATTAATACAGAAATGAAAAGAAACATTGGAGAGGTGTTAAAAAATGAATGGACAAAAAATACCAGATGAAAGAAGTTTAGATGCGAAAAACAATGCAATACATTAATCAGATTACAAAAAGCTAATTTTTGTTGTTTTCATTATTGAATTACATTTTCTTTTTAAAATTTTTTAAAAAATAGCTATAGTAAGGTTATATATCAGTAGGAGAATATAATATACATTTTAAAAACAGACCATTAGATCTAAACACAGACCAGCAGAGGAAAGATAAAGCCACTATTTATAAAATAACTTTAAAGTATTTTACAGTTTAAAAATAAGATATATTTAGCATTTTGGAAATGTTTATTTTAAAATGCTTGAAAATTAGAGTTGGCTTTTAAAATTCTACATAATGTTTAAGTATTTTCCATTTTCAATACTTATTTAATTAATATTATTTTTGAAATTTTGCCTTCTGCCACTATAAAATTTAGTCGTTTAAAAAATCTCTAGAATTTAAATTCATCACTTTTATGTTTATCACTCTGGTAACAAAGTTACATCATATTTACCTGAAAATATTGAAGTTCAAAGGGAATTTTAAAAAATATTTCCAAAGCTAAGTGAATATTATCAGCCACAAAACTAGGTAAACTTTGGTAAAGTAAATGATTGATAGCCTCCATATGTGGAAGAAAACCACACTATTAAAATTAAAACCTTTCTTTTAAACTACAAACTACAATCTTATTGGTTCTGTTTCTCTGGAGAACTCTGACTAATACACTAACTCAAAATAAAGCATCAACATCTGCTGCCAAAAATTGCACAGGACATCAGACTACAGAATTTTTCAGCTTACGTTTATTTATTTTTTCCTAATCTAGTCATGGTTCCACAGTACAATTAGTTACTTCCTTGTCTCTATTCTCTACTTCCTGTCTTTTGTTTCTCTATTCACATTTTACTAGGATCTAGGCAAATATATATTTTTTCCTTTCCAACAATCAAGCATCTGGGTTCTGGGGGAGAAAATATCTCACACATTAATACATTAATGGATTACAAATGGCTGGCTTCCAACCTCAACTGGGCGTTCATGTTTCTCAGCAACATTTTCATGTTACTTTCATTAATTTTCCTGGTTCTTCCTTACAGCAGCTTTTTATAGGGTTACCCCTAGAGTGTACAAGGATAAGACAGGTAGTTTTGTGGGGTCCCTGTCTGTTTAAGCAAATTGATTAAATCTGTACTACACAATCCATGGGCTCATCTGAGTTATAGTAATTTATTGATGAAGATCACAAATACAAGTAGACAAGAGGAATTAATGTGTTTGTTTCTTACTCAAACATCACATGTGAAGGTCCTTAACAGAGTCCAAGCACCATCTCTTCATCATTTACTGTCAAATGTCTCATTCCTGAATAATTTTATGTGTTTCTCCACAAGGAAAATGTAGCAGAAGTATTACAATGGCTCTTTGGAGCCTGTTGTATTGAATAATATAGTTCTTCTTGCCACTTCTCTAATGCCATTTATATAATGAAGTTTATATCATCACTCATCCATTGTGGTTTCCATGCATATTGGCTTTCAGTGGCTCTCTCAAAGCTTGGATCTGCGCTTTGATAATGATAACCACAAATGCAATTATTTACCAAGTTAGATCAAAAAATGAGAAAGATTATTGTTTTGTTCTGGACATGTTAAATTTACTGTTTCAAGTGTTATGACATAAATGTTGAAAGACATCTTTCAACCATGCCTTTTCTTGTACGAATTAGACCATAAGCCTTGAATTCTTAGCATGTAATATTTCACAATATTGACCTTATCTCTGACTTCCACACCCTGCCACCAACTAATAGAATAGTCAACGACAATGGCATGGGGCAAAAAGAGCAGTTTCACTGATGCAAGGAGTGCCTTTGGTAAACACAGCTTAAAACTAAGCTGTGGGTAGTGTGTATCACTACATTGATTGGAAACAAGAGAGAAAGTACAGGAATTGGTAGGGCCCGTTGGTATTACTGTGCAACTGTCTTCAGAAGCTCTTGGGAGACAGGCTTAGTCATCCCTGTAGGACTGCCTGACATGAGAACTGGACACCCCTAGCATGGGGTGACCTCCTGGTACCAGTGTCCAGGGAAATACACCAAAGTGGCATTGCCAATGCCAACTCATCCATGCCACCAGAGAAAGACAGAAGATTTTGGGGTAGATTATTTTGGCAACTAGGACTCATGTCAGACCAGATTGGGGTGCCCTTTTCTCAGGTACTGTGAGTCTTAGTTTGTCCCAGGCACTGGACAGTATCCAAGAGGCACAGGACTAAGAGCAAAGGCCTCCCTTGCCTAAGACTAAGGGCTGTACTGCTCGATTAAATCTATTTATGTTTTTTTAAAAGTATCTATATCTTCTTCACCACCATTTTTATTCTCTATAGGCCATGTCAATGTTTACTTTAGTGTGAACATTGAAGATATAAAGTAAAATAAAGTTCTCTCACCATGTCCAACTTGCCAACATTCAACTCCAATTTACAGACAACTCCGTATCCACACTCTTTTTTTTTTTTTTTTTGAGATGGAGTCTCACTCTGTCACCCAGGCTGGAGTCTAGTGGTGCAATCTCGGCTCACTGCAAACTCCACCTCCTGGGTTCATGCCATTCTCCTGCCTCAGCCTCCTGAGTAGCTGGGACTACAGGCGCCCGTCACCACACCCGGCTAATTTTTTGTATTTTTAGTAGAGACGGGGTTTGACCATGTTAGTCAGGATGGTCTTGATCTCCTGACCTCGTGATCTGCTCACCTCGGTCAAATTATGGTAGTTGGGAACTTTCGTGTTAGAATGAAAGAGCGCTTCAAATTACAATGTCTAATGTTAACACAGAATAGCTGAACAATACTGTTCAGATCCACAGTATTTTACTGTATAGCTAAAACATTATTTATTTGTAAAATACATATATTATGTAGTTCATGGAGTTGTGGTGAGGTTTAAATACAATATAATAATGTTTGTAAATTACAGTGCCTGGAATATAGAGCACCCTGTGTATATTGTAGAGGTAGCATATTCGTTCTTATAAAATAATAGACTTGTTTTTTTTCTCTCTGGTTTAAGAGATATAAAAATGTTTCTCTGTTAAAATTTACTCTATGATGAGAAAAAGCTATAACCAAAGGAAAGTAAATTACATTTTATATGTGAGATTTTGGAGCAGAAACAAGGGTTTGTCTACAGATAAAAAGAAAAAACACTAAAGCAATTTCTTAAGCGAGGAAGAAAAGTTAACTGTCCTAGCCAGTACCAGCTCAATAGGTAACAAAAGCCACAATGTGAATAGTGATTGTTATTTATTTTTCAATTCATTATATAAAAATTTATTTTTATTTACCTATTCAAAATTTACATGTATATGATGGAAGCTTGACATTTATATAAGACAGGGATTGGTAGAGTTGCATAATATAATTCCACAGATGAACAAGTATAGATAAATATGCATGCAACATTTTTTGATAAAACATTTTAGTTTTCATTATACATAAGAACATCCATTATAAGGAATCCAGCAAATAAGTTAGATTCAAGTAACCTAAAGAACACTTATGGAGGTGCCCTTAAAAACAATTTAGTCTGGAGGGCATGGATACTTGTATGAATAATACAGCCATGGAGTCTTACTTATCCAACCTGGCTTAAAATACAGAAAAAAATAGGTAATAATATTTATTGGAGCATGAGAAACAGTCTGTGTATAAAGGTGTGGAGGAGCTCAACACATTAAGTCTGTAGCTAATGATGTCAACTAAAGTGTAAGGAAAGTATCACTCTTCAGTGATCGTTATATAAAGCAAACAGGACTTATTAGTTGGTGTTTTAGAAATTCAATATAGTTATTTGTATATAACTACAAGTGTGACTAAGATATATATAACATACTGAAATATCTGACAAGGAGACGTGAACTATGTCAAAAGGATCATACTTTGTTTAGTTACACGTAAGTATATTGCACGTGGTTTCCGTTAGTTATTTATTATGAATCCTCTTTAGATGTTTTTAGCTCCATTGCATTATTTGTGTGACAAGCAATCAAGCTTGCTCCCCTTCTTTCTTTCTTTCTTTTTTTTTTTGTCTTAGTAAAGCGTGTTGTTTAACTGAGCATCCTGTATCATGGCAGGAGGTAGGAGAAGGAGAGGAGATGCTGTATTTCATATCTCTTACATGTTTCTGGTAATATAGAGATCATTAAAAGCAAAGATCTCTATTGAAAGTGTTGTGTATCTTATCAGTTGGAATTCTAAACTGTATATTTGTAACTTAATGGGCAATTGGATGGGGTAAGCATAATCCTTAATCGAAATTAATATTTTATTATATTAATATTTAATGGCATTTTATCTTAGTAATATATATGAATTGCATTTTTAAACTCATCTATTTTATTAGTCTTATGGTAGTTCTGAAGTTTGTATATATAATGTTTAACAGTTTATTCTTTGAATGTGATAAGTAAAAGGAAATAGAAAGTATATTAAAATTGTGGAACTTATATTTAGTTAGGTCTTTAGTAAAAATTATAGACAGGACATGTAATATTTTCCCTGAATCAACTTCCAGATAAGTAAAAAACCTAATCTACATATTCTATACCATGCTAAAAAGTAATAGAGATTCCTCATGAATAAATACAAATGTTAACTGTTAGAATGGTAACCTATTACATTTAGGTACTTATAGTAATGTTTGTTTATTAGCTAAAACAAAGATAAGCCAGCTTTTCTGTAAGGAGCCAGACACTAAATATTTTAGGCTTAGCAAGCCACATGGTCTCTGTTGCAACTCTTGTGGTGTGAAAGCAGCCATATTTGCCAGTACTTAAATGAATGAACGTGGATGAGTTCCAGTGAAACATTATCTACAAAAGGAGGTGGCTAGCCAGATTTGACCAGCAGCCTATCGATCTCTGACTCCTAAGTTAAAGCGAAGTGGATACCTCCAAATAGAGTTTCCTACCTTATATAAGACTCATTTTTATGATGTCTAACACCACAGTTCTCAACCAAATTAGCAAAAAGTTGTTGAAAAGAACTTAATATTTATATTCCAACATTGCCTGTAAGTCACAACTAGCAATAATTAATGTGGTATGTCATTAAGCGTATCAGGAAAGTTTTATGTTTCTGATTATTTCTCATATCAACAGCCTTACACACTAATTCTTTCATAGTGAATTATTGTTTTTCAGTTATGATAAGACATAGTCATCATTTGAAGATGACTAAGTATTACATAAGCTAAAATTAGATTAGGTAAACTATAGTTAGTATGGTATTAATGCACATATTATGTTGGCCCTAATGAAATAACCACACAAGAGTAGAAGTATGGATTAGGAACCAAAAGCTCATCATGAACATATAAACTGACCAAGTTTCCACTAACAGTAAATTAAATTGGAGCATCAAATATCTATTTTTAAATTTGACTCCAAAGCCCATGCTCTGTTCTAACAGACTACTCAACTGTGTACATTGTCTACTATTGCTCTGGTATATTTAAGTGTTGCTTGGGAAAATTGTTGTTATTTGCAGACACTGAAAATTCCACTGAACATTCATAGCTAGTCGGATTCTCTGTATTTCATTGTTGTTGTCCTCCAAACTGAGATTTTCTCCATACCTCCATACCCTCCTTAGACTCAGCAGTGAAGCTTCCTTCTACACACTGAACAAGATCTTACATGAATTCCTATAACTTCCTTACTTCTTACTCCAAATAGCTATGAACTGTTTCATTTGTTACTCTCTTTTATTATTTTCTCCAAAATATTATAATCTCTCATCTACTTCACTAAGCCAGTTAACACAACCTTCCTGAATCTATTCTTTCTCACTACCTCCAGAATCATACTTCAACTGTGATTTTGTGTTCTGTCATTCTGCTAGTTTCTAATCCTCCACCTACAAACATGCATGGGTCTCTTCTAACCTGATCTCACTCCCCTAATTCCTCAAACTATTTTCACTTCTTCCCTATGTCTTTCACTAAAAAATTTCTTGAAAAAAGAGTCTATGTCCCTGGACAACTTTGCCATCCACTCAGACATCATACCTCATGCACACGATCCTCTGCCATCATTATTCTGCTGAAATTGACTTCTTAAGGGTTTCCTGCAATTCTGGAGAAATCCCTCCTGGTTGGCCTTAGCACTAGGTATCTGGATCCTAAGATGGCAATTCATGTGGTAATTCCCCTCTTGACTTTGAAAACTCTTTCTTAGCTTTTCTTTATCTTTTCCTAGAATTCTTTTATTTTCCGTTTTCTTTAAAGAAAGGGGTGGTGCTGATTTCACGTCATATTTGTACTTTTTTATACTCCCTTCCATGGTAATCTCATTTACTTTCATATATTCAAATGTTATGCAAATTCTATATCTATATATGCACTCTAGGCTCCAGTTTCTTTTCTTTCCATTTTCAACAGACTGTTTGACATCTTTTCCTGAATACACTTCTATCCATTAAAATGTAAGCTGGTCCAGAACAAACTCATGCACATCCACTAGAGAATGCATTTTTTTACAACTGTCTGAAGCTCACATTTCAAAGTATCTTGAACTATTAATTTTAATTTCCTCCTCAACTTATTTTTGCAAATATCAAATATTTCAGGTTCCACGTGTACACCGTTATTTATAGTCAGTGTCCTTTTTCTTATCTTATTGCTGTTGCAGGTCAATCCTTATGGCTCCTCATTTATTATTGACTTTACTAATATCTTCACTTCACTTCTCTCATCACTTAAAAAATTTAAACCAGACAGCATTTTTCAGTTGTAGGTTGCCTCATATAATTCTCTCTTCTTCAAACATTGTTAACGCCTTCCCAGACTATTTAATTATTTTCTTTCCACCCTGACCTCTCTAGTTGTCTAGCATATGGCCCTGGAATATATACCCAATTTCATTTTCAAGACTCTAGGTACTGGATTTAAGTCAGATCTCATTAGATTGACTCTCTAGCTGAGGTGAAAACCACTGTCCAAATTCTCAAATGTGTTTTATTTCCATTACCTGAAATCTTCTATGCTTCATTCATTTATTATTATTATTTTTTTTTTTTTTTTTTGAGACAAGGTTTCACTCCATCACCCAGGCTTCAGTGCAGTGGAGCCATTACGGCTCACTGCAGCCTTGACCTCCCTGGGCTCAGGTGATCCATCCACCCCAGCCTCCTGAGTAGGTGGGACCACAGGCGCACGCCACCATATCTGGCTAATTTTTTGTATTTTTTGTAGAGACAGAGTTGCACCATGTTGTTGCCCAGGCGTTTCTCAAACTCCTGAGTTCAATCAATCCACCCACCTTGGCCTTCCAAAGTGCTGGGATTATAGGTGTGAGACACTGCACCTGGCCTCATTTATAATTTTTATCATTTAAAAATTTTTCTGTCCTTCAAGACTCATTTCACATTCTAGCTCCCTTTTGACTGCTTTTATTTAATTCCCCAGGGGGATATAATCCCTTTCCCTTTGGAAACACCAGTTTGTGCATCTCTTATGGCAATTATGTGTCTCATTGTCTAATATACCCTACTATATTTTAAAACGGCCAAGCACTGAAACTGTACACTATACTACTTGTAAACGTGTGACATGCATATATTATATAAAACATTTTTTCTTTAGTTGACAGCATAAAGAGACAATTTCCTTGACTTCATATTGAACTGGGGGTGTTCGGTCACATAGGATACCTGGAAAACGTATCAATGTTGCAGTATCAGTTGGAATAGACCATGCTACATATATTGTAGCAACACAGGCTTCCATATCAGAGTGGGTTGTGACAGTAAGTCATCTTTATTGCTCACATTGTATGTCCACCAAGTGACACATGTCACATCTCATATTTTATTTTATTTTTATTTTTATTTTTATTTATTTATTTTTTATTATACTTTAAGTTTTAGGGTACATGTGCACAACATGCAGGTTTGTTACATATGTATACATGTGCCATGTTGGTGTGCTGCACCCATTAACTCGTCATTTACATTAGGTATATCTCCTAATGCTATCCCTCCCCCCTCCCTCCACCCCACAACCGTCCCAGTGTGTGATGTTCCCCTTCCTGTGTCCATGTGTTCTCATTATTCAATTCCCACCTACGAGTGAGAACATGCAGTGTTTGGTTTTTTGTCCTTGCGATAGTTTGCTGAGAATGATGGTTTCCAGCTTCATCCATGTCCCTACAAAGGACATGAACTCATCATGTTTTATGGCTGCATAGTATTCCATGGTGTGTATGTGCCACATTTTCTTAAACCAGTCTATCATTGTTGGACATTTGGGTTGGTTCCAAGTCTTTGCTATTGTGAATAGTGCCACAATAAACATACATGTGCATGTGTCTTTATAGCAGCACATCTCATATTTTATTGACCAAAACAAATCACATGACCATGACCAAGTTACACTCAGTAGAATGGGACAGGGGATATTGGTGGATAGTTAAACCATCTACATCAGGAAGCAATGGTATGCCCTTAAGAAGCTGGTTTCTGATTAAATGGGCTAATGTATGCTTTCTGGAGAGAGAGAGCAAGAGAGAGAGAAAGAGAGAGAGAGAAAGGAAGGAAGGAATGAAGGAAAGAAGGGAGGGAGAGAGGGAGGGAGGGAGGGAATGGAATGCATTAAAGATGTCCTAGTATGACGAGAAAATTTTACAACACATGTCAATAACTGGAATGTAACTCCCCACACCTCATTTCCAATTTTTCTCTCTTTCTCCCCATCTCTCTTTGTTTTCACCTTTCTTTGCCATAGGCTCCCCCTCAGAGAAGCAACTTCGGGCTCTACTTGTGGGTACTGGGTAGGAAGGAGAAAAAATTGCATGTCATGTAGTCCAAGAGCAGACTGTTCAAAACCTGGTGTTAAAAATTTACCCAAGGGTTATGAGCATAACTACCTATGTCAAGAACAGGTTCCCTCCAGATGATGAATTCTAGAATATAGTGAGGATTACCAAATCATGACCTAAATGAGAAGAAAGTATATTAGTAGACAGAAACTTACAGTATTTATCTCTTTGCATGATTCCTTTCAGAACATCAATTCCAGTCTAAGTTTCAGGGAGTTATCTCTACTGGTCTGCCTTGTAGTGGCCTGCATAAATCTTTCTTTCTCAAAGCCGAAAGAGTCTTTACTCATTTCTTCACTAATATGAAAAATATTTATAGAGTGTCTATTATATGTTAGTCTACTGACATTCGGTGTTTTATATATTAACTAAATCTATAAAATTTGTGCAAAATAGAGGCTTTGTTCTGTTTACAAAAGAAAAAGCAAACGTTACTTCAGGAATTAAAAAAACCCTGAAAGTTCAATGTTGACTTACTCATCTTTCAATTGTAACACAGGTCAAATTGGCATAATGTCATCAATGGTAATAGACCAGTTTGATATCTTGCAGAAGGGAAAGGTGATCAATATTTCTGCATATTAAATTATGACATAGACCCGGAGAATGGACATACTCCTGAAACAGGACAATGAAGGTGTATTTCCAGCACTGTCAGCTTAAAGCAATCTACTTTTAGTGGTCCTTATTGATGGGTGTAGAGGAAGAAAGCCATTTGCCAGATCAATAGCTGCATGTCAGGTATTAGAGAATGTGTTAATTTGTTCAAGAAATGAAAACACATCTGGTGCGGCAGCTGCAATTGATGTCACCACCTGGTTAAGCTTATGATACTCCACTGTCATTTTCCAAGATCCATCTGTCTTCAGCACTGGCCAAACAGATGAGTTGAATTAGGATATGGTGGGAATCACTCCTCTACATCTGTAAGTCCTTGATGGTGGCAATAATCTTCGCAGTCCCTCCAGAGGTGTGGTATTGCTTTTAGCTTACAATTTTCCTAGGTAGAAGCAGTTCTGGTGGCTTCCAATTGGCCTTTTATACTATAATATCCCTCACACTACAGGTCAGGGAACCAATGTGTGGATTCTGCCAGCTGCTGAGTATGTGTATTCCAATTATTCATTTCCCACCTGGGGAAATTATCTCATGGTGGGTTCAGAGACCTGCAGTTCCTACTATAAGGTGAACTTGAGCAAAAACTCCATTGATCCTCTAGCCTCCATAAGCTCTTACTCTGACTGGTGGGCTACAGTTATGTTTTGAGTCTTATAGAATTAGTGTCAGTTCAGAACCAGTGTCAAAAGTCCCCAAAAGTTCTTCTCATTTCATTTTGTACCAAGCACAGTTCAACTGCTAAAAGTTCTTAGGTCCCTTTGGGAAAGGGTAAAAGAAAGACTAGTAGTATAAATTAGTATAAATTCTTGGCATTGTTCTGGGTCCTTCTTCAAGGGGACTTGTCTTTTCCTCTATTCAAGGGGTGCTGGGTCTATAAACTGGCTTATGTTTGGGAATTGATTGAGAGTCATGATTGTGACTCTCCATTTTTATAGTTCAGGTTAGACTTTTGTTCATTTAACTAAAAACTTTGCTGCTTTTAAAGTTCTACATTATAACTAGGTCAAGGAAGAATTTAATAAGCTTCCTATTTTACTTCTAGGAACACACTGATGACCTAACCAGTGCCATAGGCCTGTGCAAGTCAGACTACTCTGATTACTGCTTTGAGTGTGCTGCCCATTATGGTAACCACATCCACATTGACTTCAGTTTTCACTGTGAGGTCTGGCTTACAGAGAAGAGTGATCACAGAGCACTTCAAAGATGCCAGGGCTCCCTTCACAAATTTATTTGTCAATCATGGTAGAATTCATGGTAGAAGGTATGTCTTCTGGACCCTCCCAGGTTAGGTGACTAGATTTTAAATGGCAGATCTACTCTAACATTCTAGTGTCCCTGAACATTTGAATCTCGTTCTCCACATTGAGCCAAGGCAGCTTAGGCATTTCGATTTGCTCACTATGGGTGATCTGTCGGTCCATGTTTTAGCCAAACAACCAAATAGAGCCTTTTTGAACTCCCTGAACTGCAACACTAAATGCAGAATCTCTGCTAAGTGAGCTCATATCGATAAATTCATCCTGGTTCATATTTATGTTGCACCTGCTGCTATTCCACACTCTTAATATCCATTTCCACATGTTTCCTGGATTTCTGTCTGTATAAACTAGAAAACTCAAGCAGTTCTCTTGGATTATAGCATGTCTCCTCATGATCCACACTTTGTACCTAACCTTTAGGGCCCTGTATAGAATTCAGATTAGTTAGAGGCCTAGAAGCAAAGAAGGATGGTCATAGCCTGTCCAGAAGAAAATCACCTTTGTCTTACATGACAACTGCTTCGGGGGAAGCTATTATAGTTTCCTTAGCCAATTCAGGATTAATTCACTCTGAAAAGCAGAGAGGTCACTTCCACTGTGAGTAGGGGGGGTTGCTTCCACTGGTGGTGGAGAGGTCTCTTCCATTGGCAAAGAAAACTCATGAGAATTTGGGGCCTCAATGTCCTGAGCTTCATCAATACTCTCCACATATTGCCATTCCAACTTTCAGGATCACACTCCTTCTCAATGAATACCCTCCTTTTAACATTAGACAGCCTGTGAGTCTGAGAGCTCAACTTGCATTGTAATTCAGAATGAGATTCTGCACTTGATATTCAGCAATTTCAGACCTGTGGCTACTTTATCCTGTGGCTAGAGGATAATGGACTCCTTCAGGGGACACGTAGAAGCTTTCAGATCATTTATGTGGTGCTTAAGCTGGAAATTTAAATTCCTAAGCTCATCATTTTCCTTCTCATGTCCAACAACATTAGGAGTGACCAGCCAATCTTATTATATTTTTTTAGTTTGAGAAAAATGTTCAAAAGTATCATATACAAAGTACCAATTTCTTTGACTCTTACAAGTGGTTGATTAGGAGTGTCACTGATGATGTTTTGTGTATCTTTATTGCCAGAGAACACCATGGACCACCAGCCTTCTCTTTACTAATGAATATAGAATTATTAGCATCTTTAAATCTAACTAGATCAAAGAGCAAATTCTAGAAACCCAGAACCAATTCAGAAAACTCATTTTTAAAATTATCTTCCTCTAGACTACTCCCAGTATCAAAATCTATATTAGGCAGGGTTCCCCAGGGAAACAGAACCAATAGAATGTGTGTCTGTATGCATATATGCATATATATGCATATACATGTGTATATATGTATATATGCATATATATGCATGCAAAACATGAATATATGCATATATATGCATGCAAAACATGAATATATGCATATATATACACATATATATACACATGTGTATATATATATATATATATATATAGAGAGAGAGAGAGAGAGAGAGAGAGAGAGAGAGAGAAGAGAGAGAGAGAGATTTATTATAAGAAGCTGGTTCAAATGATAATGGAGGCTGATGAGTCCCAAGATCTGCAATCAGCTAGCTGGTGACCCAGAAGAGCCAATGGTGGAGTTCCAGTCTGAGTCCTAAGCCCTGAGAATTGGGAGAGAAATGATGCAGTCTCAGCCTAAATTCTGACAGGCTCAAGATCCAGAAAGAGCTAATGTTCCCATTTAATCCATTGGCAGGAAAAAAAACAATGTCCCAGATCAAGGCAATCAAGCAGTAGGAATCCACTTACTTTGGGGAGAGTCAGCCTTTTGGTTCCATCTAGGCCATCAGCTGATTGGATGAGGCCCACTCACATTATGGAATGCAATTTGCTATACTCGGTCTATTTATTAGAATGGTAATTTCATCCAGATACACCCTTGCAAACACATTCAGAATAATGTTTAACTAAATGTCTGGGCAGCCTGTGGCCCAGTTGAGTTAACACATACAATTGACCATCACAGTCCTCTTTAGACTGGGGCAAGGCATTAGAGACATTGGCTATCTTTTTATCTGAGTGCCAGATATTGGCAATGAGAAAGAAAATAATTGTTTATCCTTTATTTCAAAAACACCATTCAATTTCAGGATCTAAGGGCAACAGATGTTCAGCATGAATGGACCCTCTGCAGGCTCACAGTCTGCTGTCACATGTACCACCTGTAGAAAGTTCTTCTGGGCAACAGTACACTGAGTACACTGAGATACCTCAACAGCAAAACAGAATATTAAAATAATGAAATTAAGCTTAGGATTCCAGTTTTACATCTACTGTAATCATTGAAATTTAAATTTTAAATTTTTTCATTCCTATTTCAAATTGTTCGATAGTATTAAGTTAAAGATGCATGTCAAAGCAATTTTAAGTAAAATTCAAACCATCAAAGAGTAAGTTCCTTCTGAAGAATGAGTCTTGCAAAAGTAAAATAATTGAACTCATCTTTATTCTAGAAAATGGAATTCTAAGAAGAGGTAACATTAGAAAAATACTTGTAAGAGCATATATGCTTTTCATTTTGTCCTAATTTTGCTTTGCCATATATTTAACATCCACATTAATCTACATGAATTTTACATGGACTCATTTGAAATAAAAGACAGAAAATCATATTAAAGTCTGGTAAAATATTTTTGCTTCAGATGTTTGTAGAGGGGCAGAGTTTAAAGATGTCTAATATTTTGCTAAATGAATAGAAGTATCCTTTCTTTGAAGAAATTAGTCCACTAAAAATACCTACCTCATTAAAATTCTGTTTGCTTAGTTTGAACTTTAAAGTGCAATTCCTTTTCTAGTGAAAGATAATAGCTATATTTAATAGTTTAACTTGAACTTTCCAGAAATGACTGAATGAATTTCTTAAATCATCTTAAAACTAACATTAGTGATAAAAATAATAATATATTTTAAAATTCAGAGTTTTATCATTGGTAACAAGAAGATGTTGTAATTCTATCATCTCAATGCTGTAGTTGTACAAGTAAATAATAAATAACACCACTCAAACTTTTAAATCATTTTCTGCATTAGTCTATAGGCATATTTATTATTATTAACAAATAAATTAGCATATTTCCTCATTGCTGAACAAGGACTATCAATCTAACCTAGATTTTTTCTTAAAAATTATATTCTTCATTACAGAACTTACATATTTCCTCATTGCTGAACAAGGACTATCAATCTAAGCTAGATTTTTTCTTAAAAATTATATTCTTCATTACAGAACTTACATATTTCCTCTGGTGTCTTTTTTACATGGATTCATATGTATATCTCTGAAAGTCTTTGCTATGCATGATTTTTTGGGGAAGAGAACTGTTCTCAAAATTTTAAATACTTAACTCCCCTGCTGTGATTTTCTCCTGCTGACCTCCCATGCACCCCCAAAATGGACCACAATATGCTAAAGACAAATAATTGCAGCACAATTTAATTATCCTGTCTAATCACAATATAACTTATACAAAAATTTTGGGGGAAGTCAGGCATGTTTTTGAGAGAGGGTAGAGAGGAGATTAGAGTTTTCACAGATGCCATAATACCATCTTAGTGTTTATATTTTCTTTAATTTTTGTCAGTGTTTTCCATGTTATGGTGAATGATGCAGTAGAAACAGCTAAGAAACTCTGAAAGGAGAAAAAAATCAACTACACTACAAATTTTTAAATACTTTAAATTCAGATGTGTATTGTAGCTACCACATTTATAAATATATCTATTGAATATTAATATATTGCACCTTAACCATCAGTACATTTGTCTGCAAAACATAGGATGCACCTTTGTGGGAGGGAAGGGCTATCTCCTTAAACTTAGAATAAGTATTCTAATGTATAACATATTATGCAGAAATATTAAATATTTTTAGTTATAATGGTATTTTTTATAAAATATTAGCACACCAGAAAAATAATATGTAGATTGCAGGTACAGATGGCAAAAGAAATTCCAATTCACACCAAAGAATCCGGAAAAGACTCAAAAATGGAGGCAACTGGTACCTTCCAATGTAAGGAAACACACTGGTGTAAAAATAGAAAGATTGGCTGAAAGTCTGTATTAGAAGCAGCTAGATCCCAAATTCCCTATGATTTCCTGCACAGCCAGAAAGCAACTCCTTCCACACCATGACTGGCAGTTTGAGTTTACACCTGGAGACTGCAACGGAGAGTCTCTGGACTGTGGTTCACCAGGCAGGGCTGAAGGCTGGGATGGCATTCTGAGAATGGGGATTATCAGAGGAATCTCTCAAATCCTGTAAAGTTAGGAAGAAATCGATATCTCAGGGGCTTTGAGGGACAAGTCACATGGAGCTGCATAAGAATAAGAAATAGGAAATAAGAGAAAATAGGAATAGGAGAGAAAACATTAAGCATGATGTGTACTCAAACACAGCCTGCCTGGCCTTTGGATGCTCGCCCTGGCACAGTTACACATGGACCTTCTGTTACTGGTCAACTCCTTTGTACGTTTTCAAGGATGTCTGTTAAGAAAGGAATTTTACCTGCACGACATGGCACATGTGTTAGAGGAGCTATGGTTTGATTTGCTTTGGCATGGGCAGTTCTAACAGATAAATTATATAAATAGGATATATATATATATATATATATATATATGTATGTATCCTATTTTGCTCCTATCCAACAGTTTCACAGTACCTAATAAGAAAAATTCGGCAATATTTGAAAAATCTGGATTTGATCAGATTTATATCTAGGACATATTAGCTGTGTATTTTTCTTTTAGACAGGATTTCCAGAGCTCAAAAATTACTTATTTAAGATCTAACCCTGCTAATTTAAATTTCTGCTGAATTAAGACTTGGTTTAATTTTACCATTGGGAAGGACAGACCCAGCTCTGACTTTTAAATCTATAGTATGCTGAGTCCTTCTTAACTTTTTTGATGACTTTTGGTTAACAAAGTCTCAGATGTGAATTTATATTAACATGGCATGGCGAAAACCTGAAACTAAACCCCCAAAATGTTGGAATTAGTGAAATTTGTAATTAAAAGCCTTAAAAAGATCTTGCAGCATGTTTATACTGATTGTGATTTTTTCACAAATAAATATATAATCAAAAATTTTAAATACTAAATAATAAGTCTATCTTCTGCATAACAAAATGTCATTATTCCACTCAATAATAAAAGCATAAAGGATAAAATATATTAAATAAAAATATAATATTATCATAGTCCAAAAGTATACAGGGCAAATTACTAGCCTATTTGAAACTTTAAAGAGGTATATCCTGAAAATTTTGTTGCTACTAAAATTATCAAAGAAAATAGATGTTCCCAGGTATTGCACCCTGTCTTTGTTATTTTTTTCTTTTTTCTTTTTCCTTCATCCATTGGCTGTTTTTCTCCTGTATCAGTGGTTCTCAACAGGGAGAGATTTGACAATGTCAGGGGACATTTTTGGTTGTCATAACTGGACGAAGGGCACTCCCAGCAAGGAAGGTCACAAAACATTCTGTAAGACACAAGAGAGCCCCTGCCTAATAAATAGTTACCTGAACAAAATGATCAATACTTCCAAGGTTAAGAAATCCTGATCTATGTCTTTTGGGGTTTCTCACAAGTCTTCTTTCTGTACATAATGCAACTGTTGTCATAATATAACAAGTATAAAAAAATTCTCTGTAGTTTTGAAGAGCAAAAATTCTGAGTCAAGAGACTTGTTTTCTATATAAGAAGGTCTTAGAGACTTGCTACTTGACCTTGAATAAGTCATTAAATCTATCAGGAACCTCATTTCTTCAAGAAAAAGTTGTTGGTAAGGTTTTGGCCATGCTTCCTAGGTAAGTAATTAATTCATTAAAGAAACTTCATATTGACAAACAAATAAATAAAACAGCATAGACACCACCCTCTCAATATTGAGATGTAGGTTGGGTTTAGAATTCAGGCATGATAGACCCTGTAGCAACTCCACAGGACATCCCAAGGGCTCTACTGAGCACAGTTGAAAACTTCTGGGCTTTAAGGATAATTCAGTAATTTTGAGAAAGTAAAAACTAAATGAAAGCTTTAAAATTAAATTTAGAGGAGTTTTTAGGTGATTGTTTAGAGTTATACACATATATGTATATTTCAAAAATATACACAGACATAATATTTACATTTCTCATGTTTGAAGTTGTAGAAGTTCTAGTCCTTGCATTTATGAAACTTTCCTAGAGCTAAGTAGTATCTTATAAAATATGCAATAAGAACCGACTTGTCTGGTTCCTCTTATGCTTTAAATATATCCAAGACAATGAAAAAATTTTTAATTGTTGATTCTAAAATGTGCTATAAATTACTGAATCACTGATGTGCTCTTATGTTAAGAAAAATATTCAAGCTCTTCTCCCCTTGCTTTAATCAATAGATTGTAGCAAAAGTGAGGCTCTGAGATTTCCAAACACAGCCTCTTTACTTCTTTTTTTTTTAATTTTTTTATTTCCGTAGGTTATTGGGAAACAGGTGGTGTTTGGTTACATGAGTACGTTATTTAGTGGTGATTTGTGAGATTTTGGTGCACCAATCGCCGGAGCAGTATACCCTGCACACAATTTGTAGTCTTTTATCCCTCACCCCCTTCCCACACTTCCCCTGAGTCCCCAAAGTCCACTGTGTTATTCTTATGGCTTTGCATCCTCATAGCTTAGCTCCCACTTATGAGTGAGAACATAAGATGTTTGGTTTTCCATTCCTGAGTTTCTTCACTTTGAATAATAGTCTAATCTCATCCAGGTTGCTGCGAATGCCATTATCCTACTCAGCCACAAGCAGCCTCTCTGCTTCTTTTTGAAGACCTGTCACTCTGCTGTGAGGATGTCCAAGTTAGACTACTGATTACAGAGAAAGCACACTAGTTGCAATGAAGAGGGGAGGAGAGAAAGGGAAAGAGGCAACAGGGGAGAGGGGAGAGGCCATATGGAGGAGTACAGGGTTCCAGGACTCAATGGAACAGAAAATGCACACATCTGTCCCCTACCATTGAAAACTAATGAATCATTGCTGTTTTAAGATTCAAAGTTTTGAGATTTTTTTTTTTAGAAAACATTAGATAGTTCAAACAGGGTAATTAGTAGTTAAATAACCATAACATAGTAAACTCTTTTTTGTTAAAAATTTACTGTTATATAATATTATTATATTTAATATATTTTATAAAATATATTTCATGCTTTAAAACTGGCCATTTTTGCATTTCTATTGCATTTTTTTTTTTTTTGAGACGGAGTCTCACTCTGTCACCCAGGCTGGAGTGCAGTGGCCCGTCTCCGCTCACTGCAAGCTTCGCCTCCCGGGTTCACACCATTCTCCTGCCTCAGCCTCCCGAGTAGCTGGGACTACAGACGCCTGCCACCATGCCTGGCTAATTTTCTTTTTTTTTTTTTTCTTTTTTTTTTTTTTTTGAGACGGGGTCTTGCTGTCGCCCAGGCTGGACTGCAGTGGCGCGGTCTTGGCTCAATGCAAGCTCCGCTTCCCGGGTTCACGCCATTCTCCTACTTCAGCCTCCCGAGTAGCTGGGACTACAGGCGCCCGCTACCACGCCCGGCTAATTTTTTTTGTATTTTTAGTAGAGACGGGGTTTCACCGTGTTAGCCAGGATGGTCTCGATCTCCTGACCTCGTGATCCGCCCGCCTTGGCCTCCCAAAGTGCTGGGATTACAGGCGTGAGCCAACGCACCCGGCCTCTATTGCATTTTTTATCTGTCATACATTTGATGCTTTTAGAAAAACAGATTCTTTATTATAATTTTAAGTGTTATCAGTAGATTCAAAGCATGTATTCTTAATATTACTATTTTGTAAGTGAGATAAAAGGGTTTGAAAGAATTTGATTTAAAAAGCTTAATTCTATTATGCTAATGTGAAATCAAATGATTTTAAAATTAGAAATTAGAAAAGTAAGCTTTAGTATGCTAATGTGCTTTCTCTAAGAGCAAATATAAAATGGGATGTCCCCTAAATTTATTTGACCATAGAATCCTTCCTTACTAAATCCTCAACAGGCTTTAAGGTAACAACAGTAACTATGGGGAGGGATTATGAAAATACAGTCGGACCTCTGTATTCATGGGCTCTGCATTCTTGGATTCAACCAACCACAGATGAAAAATATTTTTTAAAAAATTGCGTTGGTACTGAACACATACAGACTTTTTTCTTGTTATTATTCCCTAAACAATAGAGTATAGCAACTATTTACATAGCATTTACATTGTCTTAGGTATTACATTTTGTCTGAAGATAATTTAAAGTATATGGGAGGATGTGTAGGTTATATGCAAAAACAATGCTATTTTGTATAAGGGACTTGAGTATCTTTGGGTTTTGGTATTTGAGGGAAGTTCTAGAACCAATCCCTCATGGATACCGAGGAAAGACTTAATATTTCCTTTGTTCTCAAGTAGCAAGTGTGCTTTGGGTTCACTTTGAACTTCACCCCATCACAACGTATGTACTGACCTTGCGAAGCAATCTCATCATTCTATGTCTTAGTTTCTTTGCCATCAACAAATGGTCACCAGAGTATCCAATTAGTATGATTGCTATGGGGTTTTCAACATAGTAAATGTAAACAGGTTAAAAGAATGATGAAAATGTAGCATGTGCTCCATAAATGTTAGCAATTGTTGCTGGTGGTGGTGGTGGTTGTTGTGGTCGTGGTGGTGGTGATAGTGGTAGTGGTGGTGTTGGCTTGCTGATATTTTTGTACTTGCCAGGTATTGAAAGTGGTATTTTTTACAGGTCCTAATATAGTTATTCAGTTGTTGATGATTATGCTAATAAGTGCTAATGTATTGCAACACCCAATATCATAAATAACTTTGGTAAAATATTGTTGTACTAATTGTCTTGCCTAAGATACTCCATCTTTCTTACAAATTCTGTAGAGTATATAACGCATTTGAATTTAGAAAACATACATAGCTAACAGTGCAGAGCTAAAAACCCCTAAACTAGTGGTGAACAGCTCAATTTGTTAGAGGACCATGAACTATTTTTTGTTTATTTATATTGCAGGTTAATTGTATGAACTTTAAGCTACACATTTCAATGCTTAGCTCAGCCCTGAATCCACTTGACTGCACAAAAACTTCTCCTTAGCTTTCTTTTTGTGGTTTTTCTGATATAAATGGCCTCCTGTGTGACCTACAGAAATAACACTGCATTTTAAAAAGAGTATTCAACATTCATTAAAAAGATTAAAGGCCTAACTCTTGGTTTTGACCCCATCAGAACTGACACACCAAGGGCCTTTGCTTCTGAATCCTGGAGACCAAATAAGCACCTTTTATTATGACCTTGAGACACAGACATTTTCTTATGGTGCCATTAATAGAAAATGATCATTACAGCAGGCTGAAACTTTTAGTAATATGCACATCAAGCAAAACTATAAAGGTAACAAGATTACATATCAGTAAAGAAATGTTCTTTATATCCAACCATCAACTGGGTAAGAATACTGCTGCTAAATTGTGAAGTTAACAAGGTACCCATTGGCAATACCTTGAAGAGTGAAAACAAACAAATTCACTCCAGTCGGCATAGGAGACAGCTTAACTCTAAATAAAAACAATATGTTTATGAAGTCTTAAAGGAATTTAATACAGTAGTATTGACAGAGCAGCAGCATCACTATCTTGGACGAGCACTGTCATTTTAAAGTTCACCTTGATCAAAAATTGCTTAAATCCAAAGGGCATCAGCCTCATGGCTAAGGTCAGCATGGCCATAAATCACAAATAACATCTCCAACCAGAAACATTCCAAACCCCTCCCCAACCAAAGACATGCCAGCCCTGAGATAACCTCCCCTCTGGCCGGAGAGATGTCAGCCCCAAAATAACCTCTGCTCCAACCAGAGACATTCCAACCCCACCATAAACTTCTCCCCTCACAGAAACACTCCAAGCTTGTGATAAGCTCTCTCACTCTAAAAAAACAATAAATACTCTTAGAGAGCGCTCCTGACCGAAATTGTCCAGAAGCCCCTCTCAGGTTTATTCTCCAAAATAAACTTGTCTGTGACTGTTTAGCCACTTTTTGTGTTTGTTTCCGCTTTCTTTTACTCTTACAGTATCACTTCTGAAGACTTTAAGAAAAGGCTGTGAATGATTGCTGTGTTAAGTAGTCTGCAGTTGCTTAGAGCAGAGTTTTCCAACCTGGGCACTGCTGACATTTTGGGCTTGATAATTCTTTGTTGTGGGCAACCTTATATAGAAAAAGATGCAGCATGCAGTAAACTAGGAATTCAAGACCTAGCTGGTCTTTCCCACTTTCCTCCCTCAGGTTGCCATCAGCAGCACATTCTACCACCTTAGGGACTGATGTTGGAAGGCATCAGGCTAATCTTTTTTCTTCACCCCAAGTGCATTCCATACCATTTGTATCTGTTTCTTTCTCTCTCTTTCATTAACTACCATCTCCGTCACAGTCTAAAAATCCTCATTTCTTCACCCTGAATGATTGAAAACTCTTTTTCAGCCAATCTACTCCCTCTGGTCTCACATCATATCACCTCCCTATCAACTGACTTAAAATATTTCTCAGGCAAATTCTTCAAATACCTTTAAGCAAGATGGATTAGTCTCTCCACCAACCTCCCCAAACATTCCTAACTACCTATAAGGCCAGATTTCTAAACACCAGCATCCTGATATCTTACAGCAGATAATTCTTTATTGTGGGAGGCTGCTTTATGCATTGTGAGATCTTTAACAGTAGTCCTGACTTCCACTGACAAGACACCGGTAGCACCATCAAACCAGTGTGAACAACCAAAATTGTTTCGAGACATTGCCAAATGTTCCGTGGGGCTGGCAAGAGGCAAAAATCACACCCATTTGAAGAACCACTAGCCCAGTTTAGTACTTCTCAAACTATCTGTGGTGAAATACCAGTATTTTTTATTTTTAATATTTTAATTCAACTTCAGACTGATTTTTTATAATAATATTTACACAACACTCATGCTCAATTCATGCATTTGTTTGATTGTGTTCAGAAACCAAAATGTTTGAGAGTGGCCTTGGTCAAGGTACACTGCTAAAATAAGGTATTGCAGGTCCAGTCAATATTTGTATTAACACTTCATATAATAAGGTATGCAACTAGTTTGTTTGTTTACTTAATTTCTCTTTAGAGACAGGGTCTGATTTTGTTGCCCAGGCTGTGTTCCACTGGCACAATCATAGCTCACTGCAGCCTCAAACTCCTGGGCTCAAGTGATCCTCCCACCTCAGCCTCCTGAGTAGCTGGGATTACAGGTGCAAGCCACTGTGCCCAACTGCAGGAAGTTTAATAATATTACAATGCAAAGTGATCTAAACAGTTATAAGAAGAGCTTGCATATTTGAAATGTCAGGGAGTTCAGAAGAGCAAATAATGCATATGTGTGTTGATATTCTGTGTAATAAAAAAGTGTCTGCAAATAATATCTACAGATGTACTGCTTAAATGAATGGGTGAGTGAATAGAACACTAAGAAGGAGTCTTTCTTGACTGTACATAAAGTTTGTGCACTCAAAGGGAGACACTTCATGGAAGTGGGTCTCCATAAGTCCAGAGGTAATGTCTGCACATCACCAAGAAAGGTGTTAAGCACATAGTTATTGCCTGATAACTGTATTGAATAAGTAAATTATTAATTTCATTTCTGCACATATTACCAGTTAATAAATGAATGGGTGAATAAAGGATTGAAGAGTAGATGTTCTTGAGAAAGGCAATGAAAAATCTTCCTGTGTAAGGGACACAACCAATCGTCTCCTTGCTTTGTCCACAAGGTCTGTGCTGTCGAGATGATGTATTATATGAAAATGCATGTCAGAGTGTGATGTAAATATGTGATGTTTATAAATCAAGATACAGAAAAGTGGCCAAATAAATGAGGTGGTGCTAAAATCCAATTCCAGAAAAGTTTGTTAATTTGTCCTTGAGAGTGTATATAAAAGTACGTGAGAGTGAATGAGCGGGCTGTATGGATGTGATCTGTAGAGATGCCCTGCTTTCCACAGCTTGAGTACTGCACCATTTAATCAAAGTAGCAAGGTTATAAAAATCGTATCTCTGAAACAGAACCCAATCTTGGTTTCAAATGATTTTATGATGTCAGCTCAACAACTTGATCATATTGCTTGCCTTGTAAAATGTTAAGACAGCTATCAGACTGTTTTTAATTTACTCTCTTGGCATGGATCTTTCTCTAGTTCTTGTAGCATTCTGTCAGCACAATTTTCCTATTGAATGTCAATGAGATGTTCTACTGTGATTTCTTGTTTTTAAGCCAATATTCCAAGTGAACTACAAAACATGGGAGTGTTGATTGACACAGAAGAAATGTTTATCTTTTTTTAGCACAGAGCAATTTTATATTTTACATTATCAAAATATCACACAAAATTGAGGGATAAATATATTCATATATGTCTCATCAGTATGTCAGATACATATATATATGCATATTTATATATATAAAGAGGATGAGTTTGTTGATTCTATATCATTTCATTAATTAAATGTATTTCAAGAGAAAACTACACAAAATCATAGAAGTTATTATTATGTTTAATTCCAAATAAGCCATTTTAAGAGGGTGTTTTTGGCAATTTTCCATAAGCATTATTACATTTTTAGAATAGGAGTCAGAAAAAGAAGGGTAAAAGAGAAGGATCACATTTTTAAACAGCTACCTTCACTTTTAGTAGTTTTATGTTATAATGAACTTCTTCTAAAGCTATTTTTAATACCAAAATCATCATATTTTTATAAAAAGAAATCCATTTGTAAAATTCCAAGACTATATTACTTTAGATGTGATTGTATACATTAAGAAGAAAATAATTCACACAGGATTTCTTTTAGTACCTTACTAGTCTGGTGAAATTAACATATGCTTCCACCTACACATAAATTTAAAGAATACATTTGTTGTGTAAATCCAGGTTCAGGTGTACAGCCCCTGCATCTGTTCACCCAGTATTTCAAGAAAATTCACTTAATAGAAAGACCTAAAAATTGAAAAAGCGAAGTGTCAATTCTGTAAAGCAAATCTTTCTTATGACAAATTTCATATCAGTAATGTATGGATATATACATATGCATTTATATATATAGCAATTATTGGTAATGGCTCAATTAATTACCCACACCTGTCTCGTGTTTTGAAGTCTCATATTTGAAATATTTCTCTGTTGAGATGTAGAAAATAATCTCACTCTTACTAGGAGGGTTGACTTGGAGAGGGAAAGATGTTCTGTCTCTTGGTCTCCAACAGAAGTCATTTGTTTCCTGGTAGTTAGGTTTGTATTTTTAGAAGTGACTAGTAAGTTCTATGTAAGAGTCATTTCTTTGGGGAGGATTAATTGTAGCTATCATGCCTATCAAGCCATCAAAGATCCCACCTCCTGCCATGAGCAGACAATGGTGTCAGATACTTGAGTGACACTTCCCCTGTCAAAGCTCCATAAAATCCCACCTGGCTATGCAGCTGCTGCAGGGCTTTGGCAGTTCGCCAGAAACTCTTCATTTCAGGCTCTTGCCTCTTAACTTGCACATGAAGTGTGAGATGAAGTGCTCAATGTTCATCAAAATGATGCATAGCTCTCATGCCTAAAATAGACACCATTTTATAATTTTCAAGCTGTGGGGTGTGAGGCACCATGTTTTATCTGAAATTCCAATGTCCCAAATGTCCTGAAAGTGAAAAGATTTGTCCCACAATTGGTACACACTCACTTAGGGACAAAACCTGATCATTTGTAAGGCAATGAGAGAATGAAAGTGCCTCCTAAGTAAGGTTATTCTTGGTATCCTGTAAAAATAATGATGACTTTAATGACAGGGTACCATCCCCCACCCCAGTGGGGATGTAGGTGACATACTGTGTTTGTGCCCTATAATCATTTTTAAAATCTCCACAAGTATACCTTTCAAAATACATTTGCCTCCAGAGATTCAAAGGAGAGACCAAGGATCTATACCTTAGAGATGTAACCTTGGCCTCTTAAATGACAATGAGTAAAACTAGGACCTAAGATTTGGGATGTTTCCAAAGATAACACACCTGCCAAATGAAGGACTAGAACTAGAATTTTTCTAATGCTTCCAGGACTTGAACCCAGTGTCAACACTCTATACCTCACTGAAAGATTTCTTTTGAATTGAGCAGAATTGATTCATGGACATGGCTTTCATTTGCTCTGTTAGGGCTACAAAGCCAATACAGACAATATTTATTGCTCTTATGTTGCTTTTACAGATCACTTTCCTGAGTTTTAAATAGGTACATGCATTAGAGGAATGACTATAGCATTGCTTTTAAAAGATGGTATTTTCCTGGTCATTGTTTATAATATTTAATCAATGTTGACAACTGCAATGTAATTTTTATTTACAGGTTAGAATAAGAGAAGACAATATTACTACCTTTCCTAGCGTTAAGTTCTGGTGTTTTTACTGACATATGATTTCATCTTGCATAAACTCCACCTAGCTTTTAAAAGCAATTTTAAAAAATTGGTCAGTAATTATACAACCTGTCCCTGAAATCCAACATATAACTTCTTGTACAATAATTGGGAGGAAATAAAGTGGTTAAGAAGAGAAAATGATCCATTGCCAAGTGGCTGTTCAATCATGATTGCTACTAAGTTATTTTAAAGAATATTAGTGCACTGTAAACCAATTTTACTGATTTATAATCACTAGGAGAGTACCCAGAAGTGGCTCTGGAATTAATGATCAGTTTGTATTTAAAGTAACCACCTTTAGTAATGGTTTTCTCTAAGTGGACTTCCTTAAGAGTAGCACTTTGACTTAATTACACTGACAGTTCGTGTTTATCACCCTTTGGCTGCAGTGGGGAACCTTAAAAAGATTTAACATAAATGTGATTCTTTTTTCTCATGAGGTGCAAGAGCAATGAAGCAATGTAAGATGTGAAAAAAATTCTAAAAATAGTACACTTGTCAACAGAAACTAGGGCATTGAACTTAATTGCTTAAGTTAATGATGCCTATGACACAGATTACAGCAAAGCGTATATGGAATGCACAGATGCTTGGCTTTAATTTTATGTTCACTGGCATTGATAATTTTTGACAGTCACATTTAAATAGGCAAATAGTAATAAATATGATTTGTTTACAAGGTATTTTCCAGTACATATTTTCTCAAGTAAAAAGATTATTTTTGCCTGTAATTTATTTTAAAAAGTCAGAGAAAGCTCTGATTATAAGTTCCTATAATTCCTCAAATAAGGAAAAGAGCAATAAAATCAGAGTCATGAGAATTATGTTCATTCTTATTCTCTATTCTAGTTTACTGCAAGACTTAAAGCAAACAAGTTATCTTTTGGTCATTCCACCTTAAATGCCAAATGAGGTTAAAAATGCCTACCCCATTTACAATACAGAGTTAATAGGAGAATCAAATGGGATAATACACATAAAACTTGTAAATCAAGAACAACTTCTTAATGTTATTTAAATAAAAATATAACAATTGTATACCTTTGACAATAACAAAACCTGAGTAGACTGTGTTCCAATCATGTAGCATACAATGTTTTATTGAATGCTGTAATAGGAACATTTTCCCATTTATTACTGATTATAAAAAGCCTAGCAGAAAACCTGGTGAACTCAGATTTACCAGATTGTATGACGCTACTTTAAAATATCATTTACTCTAATAGTAAAATTATTAATAATTAAACTATGATCTCTTAGCTTAATATCGATTGTTGATTCTAATATTAAACCACCAAAAGGAAAATAAAGTTAATATTACAACTGTACCCAAGAAGTAAATGTTGTGATTTCTTCATTTCTGAGAACCTACAGTCTAGAAAGAAAATTAGTAAAAAAAAGGCACAGGCAATCTGGGCTGTCTTTACACTTCTACAATAAACTAGCCTTGTCATGTGGTCTGAACCACAGTGATCTTACATTTAAATGAAGATGTTGAAGTAAACAATTTCTAAAGTAAGCTAGAGTCCTATGGTAGGTACCACAAGCCTTTGGTCCCAAGACACTTACTCTCTGTATCAATGCTCATACTTTCAAACATATTTCACACTACATGTCCATTTTTTAGAAAAATAAAACACATCAAATACGTTTGTCATTTTCTTTTTTTTTTTCACAAGTAGCTCCTGATGTGCCTAACAGTGCCGTGGACAAGTCTGTGATCTGCTAAAGCCTATCCCTACCTCCTCTTAGTCAAAAATCAAAGAATTAGAATCAAAAGATATATAGATGTGGTTAAAAATGCCAATACCAATGGAACAAAAATGGGTTCATTTTTCCTTCATTCATCTCTACAGCCTTTCATCCAGCCAGGATTGGTGCATCATTTACTTTTTTTTTTATTTTCATTGCCTATTTGGCTCTTTTCTCCTCTAGGTTGTCTCCAAATAATCACAGTTGCCTTCCAATGATGCAGAGTAGTATGAAATTAGACCATGTTCACACATGGTGACTCCTGTTGTTTACAATCTGATGAAAAATTAAACAGCTAAAATAATGGCAGGAAGTTAATTGATGAGGATAGATTAGTTCCATATATAATTATTTGTCCACTAACTTCATAGAGTTAGCAATTAGTTTATGGTTTTGGACCCTCTCACTCTATAGCAAAATCAGGTCTTTTACCATATGTTCAAAATCATTCTGTACAAAGATTAAAATAATATGTATAATATTAGAATCTCAGATCATCCATCTTAGAGTGAGTAGCAGGTATATTAAAAATGCTCTGTTGCCAGGCATGGTGGCTCACACCTATATTTCCAACACTTCGAGAGGCCGAGGTGGGAGAATTGTTTAAGCCTAGGTGTTCAAGACCAGACTGAGAAACATGGCAAAACTCTGTCTCTACAAAAAAATACAAAAATTAGCCAGGTGCAGTGGCACACGCCTGTAGTATCAGCTACTACAGAGGCTGAAGAACAAGCACTACTTGAGCCTAGGAAGGACAGATTGCAGTGAATTGATATTGCACCACTGTACTCCAGCCTGGGTGACAGAGTGAGACTCTGTCAAAAAAAAAAAAGCCTTGTAATAGGACATATTATTAAAGGTCACCTTTTCCTTCCCATATAGTCACCATCTGTGTCCCACTGAAAGAAGAGGCTACAGGTGACGTTCTTTTTTAAATCAGAGACAGCTCAATATAAACTATATTCTAGTGAGATGTGGCAAAAAAAAAGACTATTCCATCTACTCACACACGTACACATACAAAACACAACACTATTTATCAGCCACTCATCTGTCTGTGTAACACATAATTTAGTGATGGGTTTTTACAAGATGCCTCTGGCTACTTTTGAGGTGGATATTTGTGCAGAGAAGGACAGTTTCCTAAACCTGAATTTATTATGTTATTGTGCTGGGACACTTAAACCAATGTAGTTCAAAGGACTTTGAGAGGCCATCTCCGGTGCCAGCTCAATACCCATCAATGGTGGGGGCCACACTGCCTCTAAAGGATGTTCTTGGTTTGTCTGAATATATAGACAGGAAGGCCACAGCAGCAATAGCATTTAAATGAGGTAAAATTCTCTTTAGCTCCAGCAATGGCAAGTCATGCTTTTGCCACTTCAAGCCATGAAATTGTTTAAAATTGTGTGACAAAATTTAATATAGCAACAAATATGCAGGGCAAGGTATAGACAGATACAACTGCTCTAATATAGATCCCTAGATGATTCAGGATACACTTGGGGAACAAGAATAGCAGGGTCATAACAAATTCTATACTAAGATTGAAATAAGGATACCAGCATTTCTAACTCGCAGTCTCAAACCATATATTTTAGATCATTTGGTAAGCCTACGATCAAAATAAAAGTATCTTCTGTAGATGGCATATGTATAATCAACAATTACATTTTAATCCATAAATTATCTCCTTTTGTACATTTTAAATGATGTATAAAAATAATAATTGATGTAAAATATAATTATACTCATTCTATTTTTCTCTTTTATTTGACACCTTTGAATTAATGTATAACTGCTAAGTACAAGGTGAAATCACAGCAAAGTTATCTGAGAAAAAATGTCTATTGGTGAAAAATGTGCAGTACTTACTTTTTTCTTTAAGTATGTTTGAGTTATACAGTAATGTCACTTAAACTGTCTAGATTTTTGTTGTTGTTGTTGTTGTTGTTGTTGTTGCTTTTGAGATGGAGTCTCGCACTGTTGCTTGGGGCTGGAATACAATGGCACAATCTCGGCTCACTGCAACCCCTGCCTCCCTGGTTCAGGCAATTCTCCTGCCTCAGCCTCCCAAGTAGCCAAGATTACAGGTGCCCACCACCACGCCTGGCTTATTTTTTGCGTTTTTAGTAGACACAGGGTTTCACTATGTTGTCCAGGCTGGTCTTGAACTCCTGACCTCATGATCCACCTGCCTCGGCCTCCCAAAGTGCTGGGATTACAGGCATGAGCCACCACACCCGGCCAATTGTTTTTGCATCAGAAAAGTATAAAATTTACTATTTTGCTCAATATAGTCATGCTATTCAATCTATAGGAAATGAAATAAAAATGCTGATTAATGAGTATAAATTGCAAAAGCAATACCAGCACTGAGTCTAGCGAAAAAAATGAGAGATGTCTGAAAGCTCTGTAGCATGTTCAGACCATTTCATTTCATAAATTTCTGTGTATAAACTAACCAATCATCGACCTTCCATATATCAGGTCAGTTTAATTTAGATAATGTTAGGCAATCCCCTCTCTGTAAAATGCTGTGAGACCTTGATTTTACATCTGGAACAAAGATTTTTTCTTTTAATTTTGAGTAAGTGTTATACTGAATTACACTATAAATCATAGAGCACATACATTGGGCAATGTTATGGTACAGTCTGACATGTCAATTTAGTAGAGTATGTCATTTCTGCATAGTAAGGAAAGAAGAATGGGCATGTTCTGTGCTTGAAAAGACAGAGAACCTATAATCCATATGTATGCACAATAAAAAAATACATTGAAAGCCTTTTGCATGGTGTATCAAAGTATATTTATTTTCTAGGGCCCCATTTAAAATCTTAACGCCTACATATTTTTCAGTATTACAAAAAGCCAAGCCTACTTATCTTACTGTGATCTCAAGCAAATGCAAAACAAATAAACTAATCTATTTGGTATTTCATCTGCAATAGGTATAACAAAAATAAAGCATAGATCTGTTTGGAAAATGCGATTGTAAAGTGCTTCAGATGGTGGTGCATTAGGAGATAACTTTTGCATTTTAAATCATATTTATGATGCACATCCATTTGAGGGCTGTTTTATAGACCATATGCAGAAAACAGTGTCCTAAAGAAAGTTCATCTCAGAAAAACTGTTGTAATTAAAAATTTAAAATAAAACAAACTCATGTAGCAAAACTGGATGGGGGAGTTAGTGTGAAAGTTAGTTTTAAAAGGTTAGCTTGTGAATGTCCAGTTCAATATTTACTGGATCACTTTATACAGACAAGAGACTTGTTACATAATTACATGTATGTTTCAGAGTTGAGAATATTGAGAGACATGGGTAAGTATCTCTCTCAAAAAGCCAGTAACACGCCTTCTCAATGACTGGCCGGTGATTCAGAATGCTGAGACTATAAATGCATTAATTAGTCGTCAGTCCAATTTCTCCTCAATGAAAAATGTATTTGTTTATAAAAGATCATTGTCATATACTATTATATTTTCTAAACTATACCATTTTCCTGATTAGAAATAGAAATTTTCCTTCTTAGTAAATAGTGCTTCTTTCTATTTCTGGTGCATTCCAAATTTTAGATAAAATTAAAATGTACAGTAACATATTCCAGAGCTGATAATATAAACTCATTGGGGGATAAAAATAAATAAATGCATTTTATTTTATAAGTCATGTATCAACTAATACATCAAATTGTGTTCAATATGTTTTGATAGTGGGTTAATTAACATCAATTATAGCTTATTTAGTGTTTAAATAGGTAAGTGGTCTGAACGTATTAGGGGAATTTGTAGAAACAAATATCTAATGAATAAAACACATTGAGTAGGGGATTGGAATATTGAATGATGCAGTAATGGAAATTCAGTCTCTCGAGCACTATTTCCGCCCATGGAAACCTTCTCCCCAACTCCATTATTAATATTACATGGGGTAAATTTTATAGGCAAATACTGCATTGGATCCAAAGGAATGAAATTAGTTTGTTTTGATTATTCTGTTAATCAATTTGTACAATTAATTGATCTTAGATCTGAACTTCCTTTATGTCTGTTTAATAAATGTCATGACACCTTCTGCATCTATAACACACTAAAAACATCTACTTTACAGGTTCATTTGTTATTTGCCTTTTAACCTGTCAATATACTCCCATAATAACTTTAAAGACTTCAGATACATACAAAGTGGATCAAGTAACAGAAATCATGTTGACGTAGTTGGTCTTGTTAACATAGCTGACAAAGCTTATTTATGCTTATAGATTATTGTCACTTTTCCTCCTCCCACCAAAGATGAAATAAATGAAAGTGGAGTTTGTACAAAGGATAATTTTAACACGTTTCCAATGCTTCTGCAACCCTCCACTACCCTGTGTGGCTTGTATAATCTAAATCTTCACAGTGTATTTATACGTACCTAGAAATACAATAAAAACAGCATATCCAGTGCTTCCCAGATTTAAAACCCCTAGAAAATTAGAAAACTATCATTTTTTTTCCATTTAAAATGCCTACCAAATAACATGAAAGTTCCCAAAAAGAGGTTGGTGAACTAGGCTGTTGAAGCCAGCTTGTTGGTGTCTCTCCCTGTGTTCCCTTAGCTTACTCTCTTGGCCACAGAAGGGAGTCTCCGTGAGAATCGGTGCCTCTTGTGTGTATCTCTATAACATATCCGACCCACCTATGGGATAGGCCATCCTCCGAGAGGCAGGAGAAGGTAAATCATTATCCTAGATAATTCCAACTTTCAAAATTTATCTTAGAAGGTTGCCAGTGGGTCTGAACACAGTTTCTCACGGTGGCTATTAGTTTGTGGGGGCATGTCGCATTGCCATCCCTCCATTCTTGTCTCTCTTTCCTCTCCCCCTTTCTCATAGTGCTTCCTAGAATTGTCACCCCTCAAAACCATTTGACCACCAAATCCAGGGTTTTTTGTTTGTTTGTTTGTTTTTTAAGTGACAGGGTCTCGCTCTCTCATTTAGGCTGGAGTGCAGTTGCATGATCATAGCTCACTGCAGTCTTGACCTCCCGGCCTCAAGGGATCCTTCCAACTCAGCCTCCCAAGTAGCTGGAACTTCAGGCATGTATCACCATCCCTGGCCTAGTTTTTTGTTTGTTTATTTGTTTTTTTTTTGTTTTTTTTGTTTTTTTGTAGAGATGAGGTTTCACTATGTTGGCCAGGCTGGCCTGGAATTCCTGGCCTTAAGCAATCCTCCCGCCTAGGACTCCCAAAGTGCTGAGATTATAGACCTGAGCCACCGCACCTGGCCTCCAATCCACTTCTTAAGATTTACTTTTGTGCCACTCAGCCCAGCCATCTTGGAATATGTTTTCAATTCTAAGGCAAAATTATCTTTTCCTTTTTTTTTTCTTGAGGAAATAATAAAAAGTTTACTTTCTTATCATTGGATCTCCCAACATTTCTATATATAAAGTCTCAAATTCCAATTCATGTTTATCACAGCCAAGATACTTTATATTTTTGTATTTTTTACTCTTCCAGAGAGCTATTTTGTTTCTGAGTTAAATAATAGAACAATATTATGTAGGCATCTACTCTGTATTTGGCCTGCCTCTCAGTGGAGAAAGCAATATTGATACAGTACCATAGTTACAGTTCATCTACTAGTTGCTATGTAGTTCAAAACGACTGGAAATTTCTAATATAGAGAAATATTTCATAATTTGTACTGTTCTTGTTGGTGTCATGGTTAATCTAAAAACCAAGGATCCACTGTGAGATAATTGAATGTTGATTTTTAGTTAATACCAAGTATTGATCGACAATCTCCAGATTTTACAGAAGAGCAAACAGCTGAACTGAAAGGGAAATATTTTCCCAATTACCTTCAACTATGGGTCTCATATGTGAGCTCCTCATACAGCAAAACTCGTGACAGCTCTAACTGTATTTGCTGTTCCTAGTTTGTTGTTTCATTCAGTTTCTCTCTAAATTGGATTCACGAAATTACCTTCCAGGTATTTTGCCCACAACTTCCTCTTACCAAGTGCTGTAGCCATGTCTCAGTCTTCCTTTCATTCCACTTTCTTAGCAACATCTCACACACTTAGCTATCACTGCTTCCGTTTCTTGAAATCTGTGACTCTCTCTCACTTTGTTTCTTTCACATCTCAGTACAATTTTCTGTCTCATTTCCTGATTTCTCCTTCTCAGATCAATACTGTAGTGAAATATTCTAGGACTTGGTTCTTTGTTTTCTTCTCTACTCTATCTTCAAATCCAGAAAATTCTATCTAGTGCCACAATTTCATATATCATTTGTATCTTGAACACTTATCTCATTTAGAAACTCCTGACTGCATTTCCCATTGCCAATCTGACAAATCTGATTGTCTAACAAGCAGCTTAAACTTTACATGTTTGACTCAGAAACCCTATTTTCCCACAGAAACCTATCCCTTAACTTGAGATTTCCCATCTCAATAAATGTCACTTAACTCCATTGTTTGTCAAGGATAAACCCAAGCTGTCATTCTTAATTCCTCTCTTTTCCTCATCCCACATTGAAAGCTTCAGAATAACAAGTCGATTCTAACACCAAAGTGTCTCCAGAATTGACTACCTAATAGCTTTACTACTACACCTTAAGTCCAAATAACCATTTCTTTTTGTCCACACACTGCAACTTAATGGTTTCTCTGATCTTATCCCTGCCCATTACAGACCATTCTCCATCCAGCATGCAGAATAATCATTTAACTTTATCCAGTTATAACGTTTTTCTGCTGAAAATATTTGTTGTCTTTCCTTTGCAATTAAAATGGCATCCAACTTCTTCAAAATGGCATAGGAAGCCCTGAACATGGGTTCTGCCTCCTCTCTGCTTCCACTTCTGCCTCGTGTGCCCTCCCTATGCTTCAGCCAGGTGAGGCTTTTTCTTCTGTGCTCAAAATTGCTTGGGTGATAATTGCACCTAAGAGTAAACTTAGCTGTTTTAATAAATTGCTGGCTTTGAAACATACTGACATGTAGCTTTGGGCAAGAATCGCAACATTTTAGAGGTTTGACTTTCTCACCACACAGTACTAGTAATAATAGGATGATTTCCTTGGAATCTTGTCAGAGCCTTTAAAAAGGTAATTAGAATTAAATGAGATCATAAGGGCGGGACCTAATCCAATAGGACTGGTGTCCTTATAAGAAAAGGGAGAGACACCAGAGATATCTGTCTCTCTGAGCATGCACAGATGAAAGTCTATGTGAGAAGACAGGAAGAAGGTGGCCATGTGTAAACCAGGTAGATTGGCCTCACAAGAATCAATCTTCTGGCACCTTGGTCTTAGACTTTGAGTCTCCAGAACTGAAAGAAAACAAATGTCTGTTGTTTAAGGTACCCAGTCTTTAGTATTCTGTTATTGCAACTCAAACAGCCTAAGATGATACCAGGTGGCCCAACCCAGAAAGGAGACAAGCTCAGATCAGGCAGGTGTGGTTGCTACCCAACCTTCACATGGCCCACAGGAGGCAAAAATATTTTGTATCAACTTAAAGGCAGAGCTTTCAGTATCTCTACAAAGGCCATGCCAAGTACAAGGGCCACCACACTAAGAAAAGCTTAACGCATAGCAAACCTGTCATTCTAGATGCAATTTCTTTATCAGTGTTCATGTTTATCATAAAAAACATGTGATATTCTTGTGAGGGACACAGATAGTTATCTAAAGGTTAAATGCCTATGGAAAAAAGAAGCAACCCATTATAAAAAAAATAAATAAACCAAAAATAATTGTTGTTTATTTAAAATAACAGCTGTGCAAAAGAGATCAATAGATAAGGCTAGCAATCCATTTGAGGTCAAAGCTATACTTTTCCAAAATTATAACAACAAAAACATTAAATATGTTTATTAGAATTATAGACATGATGGTTTTATTTTATTTCCTTTTATCTTACATCACAATCTTACATGATACACTTTAAATATTCTTACTACTAAACATTTTAATAGTTTCCTATTGTTGTTTTTTGGCAATATCTCTTTAAATGTAAGTAATATACCTACAGATACAACCTGGGAGGCAGTGTATATAGGAGTGAACAGAGCATAGGTGATTTTCTGGAAGATACAGTGTCTTGTTGAATTACCTGAGCTTTTCTTTAAGAAAATAAATAAATAGTGCCATAATAATTTTATTATGTTGAGACTTTAAATATACAAAGGGGAGAGCTCCTTCTATAGCCTTTCATAATATTTTTAAACTTATTCCCCAAGCTCATGTTTTCCTAAGATCTCTTGTTGTTGCTTTTTTAAAACAAAACAAAACAAAAACGAAAACAAACAAACATATCATCATGCCTTAAATTTCTAAGCATTACAGGTCCCTGCAATTTAATTCACTGCCTAGCATACCGGTTCTTCTCCTTCAGGAGAAAAATGAAAAGACACCTTAACACCCCCATTTTCTTTTCTTTTTTTTTTTTTTAGACAGATTTTCACTCTGTTGCCCAGGCTGGAGTGCAGTGGCATGATCTTGGCTCACAGCAACCTCTGCCTCCTGGGTTCAAGCGATTATCCTGCCTCAGCCTCCCGTATAGCTGGAACTACAGGCACCAGCCACCACACCCGGCTAATTTTTGTATTTTTAATAGAGATGGGGTTTCACCGTGTTAGTCAGGGTTGTCTTGATCTCCTAACCTCGTGATCTGCCCACCTCAGCCTCCCAAAGTGCTGGGATTACAGGTGTGAGACACCATGCCTGGCCAACACTCCCATTTTTCTATTAACATTTTATACAGGTATGATGAGTTTTCATCGATCACATTGTACCGTAGTTTTATGTCTATGGATTTTTTATCCCAATGGATTCTGGCACACATGAGGATGGGTATTATTTATATGAGAGAGAAAGAGAAAGCTTTTGAATGGTTTGGACAAGAGCAGCTGCTAAGAACTAAAATAAATTTAAAATCTACATGAATTAACATTCTTTTCAATATTTCTTAAAAATATATAATATACTGGTTAACTTGTATCTTTTAATGGGTAGGCATTTCTACTTGTTTGTTTCCAATAAATGCCTACAAAACCTCAAAAGGTACTTAACTCCTTGCCTAAATAAACAAAAGATAAATAAGGGAATGTTTTGGAAAATTACACTTTTAAATCCTAAGGAGAATGAAATCTTCCTAATTTGTTAATGGATCACTAACTTTTAATGTTTTCTCCTGCAAATGCTATGACACCCAAAATGATAATTTAAACATTGGAAACCTCATCTCTTAGCAATACAAAAATTGTTGAAATCAATTTCAAAGAGTAAATATATTCAAGTTTATTTTCAGTTTTATCATCATCTGAAAATTAATTTTCTTTCTTTTTTGGTGTCAAACACTTTGGTGGCAACCACTATTTTATTTCAGTATGTAATCCTGAATAAAGCACCCTAAAGTAGAAGAGAGATTCTTTTCTGACTTATGACCATCCCTAGGCTGTAGCACTCAGTCTAGCATATAAAGAGTACATTGGGAATTTGAAATTAAAGAAACCACATCATTTATATTAATACATCCCAAAATGAAATACTTAGGTATAAATCTAACAAATGTGTACAAGATCTATATGAAAAAAAACTAAACAACGCTGGTGAAAGAAATCAAATTAGAACTAAACAAATGGAGAGATATTCCATAACAATGGATAGTAAGACTAAACACTGACAAAATATCACTTCTTCCCAAATTGATCTACAGCAGCAGTCCCCAAGTTTTTTGACACCAGGGACCAGTTTCACGGAAGACAATTTTTCCACAGATAGGGTGGGAGGGATGGTTTCAGGATGAAACTGTTTCACCTGAAATCATCAGCATTAGATTCTCATAAGGAGCATGCAGCCTAGATCCCTCGCATGCACATTTTGCAACCTGCTGTCAAAAACTCATTCTGATATAATGTGGAGTATAAACATAAAAGAATACACAAATACTTAAAAATGCTTAAGGAAATAAATACATCCTTAAGAAAACCCTGAATTGAAAAGTGGGTCTAAAGCACATATCTACTATAATGTCTATAAAAATCAGTGATTGAAGATGACCATAAAGTGAGAAAGAATTTTGAAGTGTTTTAAATAAATCAGAAAAGAAACAATTATGGAGACAGTAAAAAGATCAGGTGTTGCTGGGAATTAGGGAGAGGGTGGAATGAATACATGCAACACAGAGGATTTTTAGGGCAGTGAAATTATTCTGTATGATACTATAATGGTGAATACATGTTATTATACATTAGTTAAAACCCACAGAATGTACAATACCAAGAGTGAACCCTAATGGGAAACTATCAATTGGCTGATAATGATGTGTCCATGTAGGTTTATTAATTGTGACAAAAGTACCACTCTGTTGGGAGATGTTGATAATGAGGGAGGCTATGAATGGGTAGGACAGTGAGTATATGAGAAATGTCTGTATCTTCTGCTCAATTTTGCATGAACTTAAAGCTGCTCTAAAAAATAAAGTCTATTTCTATAACACAAAAAAGAGAATATGACAAATATTCTCTTAATTCAATTAATAATAAATTAATTGTTGACATAAGGATGGTTATGGAATGAAGGTTAATTTCAATATCTAAAACTACTGGTGAGTGGACATCCCATTAAATGCAGCACAGTATGACTCAGTGTATCTTTGTCAGAGAAATTAATGCTTCCTACAATAGCCTATTTAACTATGTAATGATATCTGCTAGCATAAAGTGACTTACTATCACTACTGACTCCATTAAACTGCATACAGATATTATCTTCTTATTTTACATATCTATGGCTGTGATATGAGTCATTTACCATTGATAAGAAATAAAACCAGGAATCAAAAAAGGGCATTTAAAATCTATTTAAGTAGAGCTAATTATTGTGATCCACGTATTTGTTACCCTCTCAAGCACACTTAATCATGTGCTAGGGCACAATTATTAAAATTAGTACAAAAAGCTGTTTACCCAAAGAGCATGAAGAAAATAAAAACAGTTTATTCATGTTTTCCTTAAAAATATATCATATGGCTGATATAGAACATAATCTTGCACAGAATATTGTTGGATTAGGAAGATTAACTATAAATTTCCCTGTAACAGTCTTCTGAACGCATAATATCATTTTCCTTCCCAACCATCCAGTTTAGTCTTAAATGTATCTTCTTGTGCCTCTCTTTTCTTTCAAAGAAAAGGAGAAAGATATTCTATGATTGTAAATTAATATAAACAAAAAATTGTATTTTTTTCATAAATTAAAAACACAACTAGAAAGCAAGAAAAGCCATGAATTTTCTTACAGTGAAATAATCAAAGATAAATAAACTCAATACTTCCAAACTGAATCTTTCTTGTATGCTTCATTTATATAATGTCTTCACAATGAAACCAACCATGCAATAAAAGCAGCAGTATGCCTGTGGAAAATGAAATGCCATCTCTTTAGAAATATCCTTAAAATGAGTGTGTGGGAAGAATATCCAATATTTTGTTCTTCCAGAAGGACAAAATGTTGCAAAACACAGAAGCAAAGAAAAAAATAGTGTCTTCTTTGAAAAATTTTTTAGAATCATGGATTTTAAATATAAAATAATTAAGCAAAAGATCTTGATTTATTTAAAACACTTCAAAATTCTTTATCATTTCGTGGTCATCTTCAATCATTGATTTTTATAGACATTATAGTAGATGTGTGCTTTAGACCTATTTTTCAATTCAGGGCTTCCTTAAGGATTTATTTATTTCCTTAAGCATTTTTAAGTATTTGTGTATTCTTTTCTGTTTATACCCCACATTATATCATAAAGATCTTGAAGCAGTTTATTAAAAACATGCATAATTGCATAATGCAATAATAAAACACAAACAATCAAGACCAAACAAGATATATATTACAACAAAAAGTTAAAAACTGGTCAAAAAAAAGGACAGAAGACACAGATATATTAGATAAACAATTGCTATAGGTCAAATTGTAGTAGTGTTTGGTAGACTTTTATGTATCAAACCGTAACAGAGAAACACAATCAGCTACATTCCTTTATTATCTCTGAGAATTTAAAAAAAAAAAATTTCAAAGAATGAAATATTTTTCTACAATCAGTTCAAAAATAAATTTTAACATGTGCTTTAAAACAGGACACAGTGAAAGATGCAATAGATAAAATACCCAAATAAGTGTACTTGCCTTTGATAAAAGCAGAAGGGGTAGTATATTAACACATAAAAGCAATTCTTTGGAAGGGTTGGAAGGGGACAGACTTCTAAGATCCATGAAGTAAGGCTATGGGCAAGCACTGACACAATGCCAAGTGCAAAATATGTGTTAAATAAAAATTGTGATACTTGTTTTTTTGGAAACAAGTGATCAAATACAACTTGATGGATTAATACTCCATCTCCACAGAAACGTGAGAAAAGTTAGTGACTTCAGGCACAAATGAAAATATTTTCTCAAGAACCAGCCATGAGTCTCCTCAACATGCATTGTATATATCCAGAAATCCTTCAGTCCAGCCTTTCTACTGTGGAGAAAGCACACCTAAAGAGGTCTAGCATTGTGTTATCTGATGTTCTATAGCACTTTTTAAAATATTGTTTTTGGTTAAGAATACGTTAAATAATTTTTAAATGTATATAAGCCAGTTGTTTCCAGATGAGATTTTTTATCAGAGAATAAAGATCAACATGGCCTTAATGTTCCTCTCAGTTTGACTAAATAGGTTTCATCTTGACCATAGGTCCTTGACTTACATTTTCTTAGAGTATTTACTTTGAAAACTCTCCATTGTAAATTCTTTTTCTGGCCCTTCGAGATGTAAATCTTCTACAACCCAGAAATGTCTATCTCAAGACATGGGAGCCATTCCTTTGACATATAATCATGAAGAAAGACAGAGCCCCTATCTTTCAATCTCTGTTGGAAGGTTGGAGCCTGACTTTGATAAAGGACAATTAGCAAACACAGATGGCCTGATCACACTGACCAACCTCTCCGTAACACCCTCCAGTACTTTTCTACTAGTTCTCTCTTGGCTTAAAAACTCTCCCACCTTTTGTTCCAGGCTAGTTAAGTATAATTCTTTCCCCTATTGCAATAGTCTTGAAAAAAGTCTTTCTTGCTTTTTAAACTTGCCCACTATAATTTTTCTTTGACAGCATAAATGTAACATATATTCATATAATTAATTTGTTAAATACATACGTTTTCACATATTCTAAGGGAAAAGGGCTAAGTTGAAAACCAGGAGTAGGTGATTTAAAAATACATTTCCACCCTGCAAACATTTACAAACAAATTGAAAGAAATATGAAAGTATAACAATGCAATTTTCGTAACAGATTGATTTACAGAGATTGGGAACTCTGAGAGGCCATAAGGCATCACCAAGGAGGTCTTACCCGAATGAACATTTGAGCAACGGATACAATTTTTACAGGTGACCAAACAAGGGAAAGGCATTGCCAGCAATTCTGGCAAAGATAATGTGCATTGGAAGTGATCTATAAACCAACAGACAGAAGGCGTGGGAAGAAAGGAAAAAGAAGGAAGAATACGAACGTAATATATAAAAGTCAGTTTCAAGTGGGGTAATTCCTTCTTAAAGTGACAGACAGCTTAAGTCAGGTTGCCATCTGTATATAGCATATTTTATTCAGGCCAAATTTGAACAGCCATTATTAATTGTGCAATTACCTACAATGATAAACTTCAATATGTGTTTTCAAGAATTACAAAGAAAAAAATCAATAGAATACCAACTTAGAAGCTTGTATTATGAAGATTAGCTGACTAATCTAATTAGTCATTAGTAATTCAATTAAGTAATTATTCTCAATCTTTTCTTTCAGGAAACATAGACTTACTTGGTAACAACTTGTGAATGTGTAACGTTTTATTATTCAGTTTGGAAAGTAAATATTTTTGTCCAAATTATTTATGTCCAAAAAAGATAATAATGCTTCAAGTTTACAAGGCAGGGTATGTTTATTTCCTCTCATTGCTTAAGTAAAATTACAATAAGGGAAAACTCTTGGTAAAAATCATGGGGAGAATAAAGAAGCCACAAGAGGCAGAGATTTCAACAAGCTCAGGAAAGAGAAAAAGATTAGTAGATTTTAAAATCGCAGCAGGAGCCAGGACCTAGTGCATATGCAAAGAGATAAACCAGAGAAGGTGTCTGAATTGCACAACAGAAAGTCAGACAGGCTCTTGTATCAGAGGTAGAAGTTACAAGGAAAGTTGGAAATGGTACTCTATGGAGACAGATTAATTGAAAGTGAATGTTAAGAACTGCCTCGACTGTCTCACCTCAGATATCAGGAAACCTAACACTTCCTGCCAAAAGGAAGAAGAGGTTGTTGGGTGGTTTGGCAGGAAAGAAGACAAAATATGTTAAAATAAATATTTGGAGAAAAATAAGGTAGCTATTATGGGTAAAACCATTTTCTTCTAGAAGACTCCTAACAATATGACCAACTCCTTATCTGCCATACGCAGAGTGAACTTTGCAGGGGACAACCTCTGCTCACTAAGAGTTAGTCTTTAAGTGGCTTGATTCTTAAATAGGAAAGAGGCAACATAAAGCCAAGAGAGACTTGAAGAACATTTGCCATATGAAAAAATACCCACAAAAATAAACAAAGAGAGGGGGAAAAAACCATAAAACTTAAGGAAATGGTAAATTACGAAATAAAAAAATAAGTCTCCAATGAATATACTGAGAAAAATATTTAAAATAAGAACATGCAATTAAGGTGTCAAAGGTGTAAATAAGAGAAACATGGTAAGCTGAAGGATGCTTCCCTTATTTTATAAAATGGCAATGGAAACAATGTGCTTTGAAAGAAGAAGGGAAAGCGAGATGAACATTTCCCTGTGACATAGGAAATTAACAGAGAAGGTGTAAAATTATTAAAAACTATTATTTAAAGAAACATTATTTACTAATTTAAAAAAGCAAAAAGATGCCACTGCTTGTATGTTGGTTTGGTTCTTTGTCACTGCTTAAGTAAGTGACTTTCACAGCCTCCTTTTCTATCTACTCCTTACCACCCGTTTACACACCCACTAAAGTCCTGAAGTCCTGGATGCTAGAAAACTAGTTGTAGATTTGTCCTTCAAATAATAACAAATGGCTTATTCTTGTACTCCTGATAATGAAACTGGGCAGAGAAGTAATTTACCCCATAACACAACATGAAGGTCTGAGGTACCACTAGCTAGGCTGGTTGTACAGGAATCTCAATAAAATGAAAATCAAAGAGAAAAAATGAATATAAATATATTTATTAACACTGAATCCCTGTACACTTAAAATGGGAAAGACGGTAATTATATATGCATACTTTACCTCAGCGAAAAAATTTTTAAAGTTAAAATCAAACAACAAAAGAGAAAAACAACAGCAATGTAAAAGTTTTGACTACATTGTATTTTACTTCATGAACATACATCAGAAATACACCAACATATGCACATTTTCTATACAAAATTATGTAAGCCATTTTGGAAGAGTGCTATGAATCTTTCAAAAAATATAAATTAATAATAAAATAAGAACCAGCAAGACAAAGAGGAGAAGAGTTTGATGATGTTACTTTTTATCTCTTTTTAATTGTTTGTAATATGTAACAAGGATCAATTTTCATGTTTTTCTCTGAGTACTTCTTCAAATTTTAACTGTATGAAAGTTAAGACAGCTGGGTCTATAATCACACACAAAAAAATCTTAAAGACAAGCAAGGCTAACGGTTGTCACCAGTATCTTATTATAGTTTCTGGCAGTTTCTCATTAAGTGTTATTTGCCTTAAATTATGAAGCATATTTAGGTTATGAATTAAAGTGGCTTTGAAAATGAATATATTATGTCATACATGATGTAATCCATAAAGTTCCCTTAGCTCCAATCAGAGAAAGACTTTGTTTTATTTTGTCACTTGAAGCAATGCCCTTTAGTCCTTTACCTTGCATTAAGTGGAGCCTTTGAGATTTTACTCAGAAAGCTGAATCTGAAAGGACCAATCAATTTGTGCATCAACTTTTTATTATCCATGGTCATTGCCAATAAAAAGCTCTATTTATTGAGATTATATCTGTGTATTAAGGTATTTTTGATGAAGATGTCTTTAAAATGATGGCAGTTCACTTTCATTCATGGTTTCAAGGTTTCAGTTACTCATGGACAACATCAGTCCAAAAATATTAATTGGGAAAATTCTGAAATAAGCAATTTCGTAAGTTTTCAATTGTGCACCATTCTTGGAAGCATGATGAAATCTCCTGCTGACCTGCTTCATCCTCCAGGCATGTGAATCATTCCTGTATCCAGTGTATCCACGCTGCGTGCTATCTGTTCATTAGTCATTTGGTAGCTCTCTCAAGTATGAGAGTTTTTAGGCATTCACTGGGGCTCTTGAAACCTATCCCTTCAGATAAGAGGTGCTTACTGTATCTCAGTTTTCTTTATTTATATAGACTTAATTGGAACAGTTTTCTCCTACTCACCATAAAATTAACAAAATGTTGAAAGCAAAAATATTAACAGCAAAAAGGTATTGCAATTTTTCAATTACCTAAGAAGATATTTAAATTTTTAAATATTTGCAATATTTAAAATTTTACAAAAAATAAAGGTAATAAAAAAATCATTTCCACCAAGAATTGTCTTAAAGTAAGGAGACTGAGAAAAGGATGAGATGTACTGCACAGATCGTCAAGTTTTGGACTAACCACCTTACAAAGGTATTTAATTTATTTTATATTAATGTGCCTTAACAAGTTGTATTTTGCTACATCTTATATAACATTGTGAAACTTCTAAGGATCAGAAAATTGCTTTCTTTAGTTTAACAAAAGCAAGATGAATTGTATGCTTACTAGAGTAGAATGCTATTTTGTGCATAATTGGTAGTCTTCAACCTAGAGCACAGAAGGTTGGGACTACTTAATATTCTGTTACAGAAAGAGACAAAAAAGGTGGTAACACTATATTTTGCTCTTTGCCACATCACAAATCCCTCTTTTACATTTAAAAATGAAGATAACATGAAATTGATTAAAGCATATTTACTTTCAATTCCTGGGCAGTTTTAGTTGAAAAATAAAGGTTTTGAACTATTGTTCAAAACTATTATTTTGTCAATATTTTCTACAATGTTTTTGGGTTTCAAAGTGACTTCAGTAAAGCTGTCATATTTGGAGACATTCAACTTTCAAATGGCATAAGACAGTGTTATAACTGGACTAAGAGCATAAATATAATAAATAACTTAGACAAAGGCCACTCAATTAAAAAAAGTTTTGTCCTTACCCATATATAGGCACAATCCTTATTATTCAAATATTCCATTTTCCTTCCATCAGGTAAGTGGTGAATATTCTAACCTAACAATTGATTATAATTCATTATAATTTAATTTGAAATAATTATAATTGCATATAATTAAAACAAATTAATTCTGATTAAAGGCAGAATTAGATCTCAAAAAAGACAATAAAATCTGTATTTTTTTTTCCACCTAAGGGAGCTGGATCTATTTCTTCATCCTATCTTTGGCCTGGTGGGGATTTCACATTATAAATGAGGATTCCCAGAATATGAAAGCTATCTAATACATTCAGGCAAAAATTCACTTTCAACTTTGTGTTAAGTGAGTTATATAGAAAGGCGAGGGCAGCATTTTTTGCCAGAGGAAACTGAAGTCAAGAGGGAGCTAAATAGAATCTGGAATGTAGGATCTCTAAATTGCATAGAGAGTGCAAAATTTCAAGTTAGCAGTCTGTCAAGTACTTCATAAGAATTACTACTGTGTTAGCTCTGGTAAAACTGGACTTGATTCACCCTTTAATCCTGGTATATACTCTCATGAATGATGAATATTAAGTATCTATTAAATAGAAACCTTTTTTTGGATGAAACATGCATGGATTAATCTTCTTATTGAAGATAATTAAGGAAATACTGTGTTCCACAATTTATAAGAATATACAGTGTATAAAAATGTTTTCATCAATGTAATTTAAACATACATAGAGGCCGGGCGCGGTGGCTCACGCCTGTAATCCCAGCACTTTGGGAGGCCGAGGCGGGCGGATCATGAGGTCAGGAGATCGAGACCATCCCAGCTAAAACGGTGAAACCCCGTCTCTACTAAAAATACAAAAAATTAGCCGGGCGTAGTGGCGGGCGCCTGTAGTCCCAGCTACTTGGGAGGCTGAGGCAGGAGAATGGCGTGAACCCGGGAGGTGGAGCTGGCAGTGAGCCGAGATCCCGCCACTGCACTCCAGCCTGGGCGACAGAGCGAGACTCCGTCTCAAAAACAAAAACAAAAAACAAACAAACAAAAAAAAACATACATAGAGATTATAATGGAAAAACAAAACTGCTAGGAATTTAAAAAAATACAAAATGAAATTGGCGTGGGCAATCGCCACTTTCTGTCTAAAAATCATTTGCCTTTGTCTCTCCTTTGTCTCTCCTAATAAGCAATAAAATAAATATATGGATTTTCTACAAAAGAAAAGCCCATATCAGAAAAGAAAATGGGAGGTTGTCAGCTTTCTTGAAATTGAAAACTGGAAGGGATTTTTTTTTTCTTATGAAAATAAGAGGCAGAAAAAAAGAAATCAAAAAGGAAATCACTTTTACTTTATCAACAGAAGGAAGATGAGTCAGTTATGAAGACTTTCACTCTTAATGTGAATATCTAATGAAAGAATACAACAAAATGCTAAATATGCAAACAAAAAACTTGACCTTGGAAGAAAGAGAGACAAAACAGAACATAGAAGATAATTATTTTATAATCTATTATGTTATGAAATTATTTGAAAAATCTCATAAATGATCTCTTATAGTCTATATATTTTTATAAATTTAAATTTATATATTTAAATATAGAAATATATGCACATATATCAACATCTAAATTTATATTTTTAAATATTTATATTTTATATAATGCATGTTTATTTAAATATAAATTTGAATATTTATATATGCAAATATATATTTCTATATTTAAATGCATAAATTTATATATTGATATATTTAAATATATATAGATTTATATATTTATATATATATATGTAAATTTTTTTCTTCAAATAATAGGAGGAAAACCTAAGCTCAAATAAATCTAGCAGACGGAATCAAGGAACAGAGTCATGTTGTGGCCAGGATGATAAAATTGGGCTACTACAAAAGAAAATGTATTCTCTCACATCCTAGCCAGCACCTGTATTTATCTGTCTTTTTGATAAAAGTTATTTTAACTGAGGTGAGATAAAATCTCATTGTCTTTTTGATTTGCATTTCTCTGATGATCAGTGATGTTGAGTAATTTTTCAAATACCTGTTTGGCATTTTTATGAATTCTTCTGAGAAATGTCTATGCAGCTTTTTTGCCCATTTTAAAAATCCAATTGTATTTTTCCTATTGAGTTGTTTGAGCTTCTTATATATTCTGGTTGTTAATCTCCTGTCAGGTGGGTAGTTTGCAAATATTTTCTCCCATTCTGTAGGTTACCTCTCTCACAGAATGGGATAGAATATACACTCATAATTTAATCTAAAATTTACCACTCTCCCATATTCTAGAAATTCTACTTCCTTATTATTTTTATTCCTTTTCATGGATATTGTCTTATTTTATTTAAATATTGTATTAATCTGTTTTCACACTGTTGATAAAGACATACCCAAGACTGGGCAATTTACAAAAGAGGTTCATTGGACTCATGGTTCAACATGGCTGGGGAGGCCCCACGATCATGGTGTAAGGCAAGGAGGAGCAAGTAACATCTTATGTGGATGGCAGCAGGCAAAGAGAGGGCTTGTGCAGAGAAACTCCCATTTTTAAAATCATCAGATCTTGTGAGACCCATTCACTAGAGTACAGCATGAGAAAGACCTACCCCCATGATTCAAGCATCTCCCACCAGGTCCCTCCCACAACACATGGGAATTATGGGAGCTACAAGATGAGATTTTATTGGAGACACAGAGCCAAAACATATCGATTATATAAATGAAAGATGAATCTATAGCCTTAAAAAAACTACAACCAATTCCGTTTATTCTAACTGCCAACCCCCAACCACACCGTTCTCTAGAAGCTATCAATTTTCTGATCATTTTGCTGCTGATCATTTTTCATTATTGTCTTATAAAAATATAGTTCTGAATTCTTCATTAGCTTTCAGTAAATGGTGTCATATCGTACATACTTTACTGCAACTCACATTCTTACCTGAAACTATTTTGGAGTTCTAACTTGGCTGGACATGTACAATATCTGTGTAACTATTTCTCTATCGTATGAACTAGGAAGTGGCCTTTGATCAAGTGTATTTTATATATCAACAAATGTAATCAAGTTTCCCTCCAATGTGACTTATGAATATTCATTGCCACCAGTTCATTTTGAGAGTGTTCACTTTACCACCACATTTTTAATATTTGATATTACCAAACATTATTATTGTTCTTATCTGATTTGTAATAATTGTAATATTTTAATTTGCATTTCCTCTTTTTGTGTGTGCCTGAAAATATTTTCTTTCTTTTAAATTTTTTACTTATGCGATTTTCTTGCTTACACGTTTGTTCATTTTTCTTATTGGTTTGTTATTTTGATTTTTGATTTGTTTTCTATTACTTACATAGATCTAATTACTCTAGATACTCATCTTTGGACTTCTTTATATAATGCATTTATTTTCCTTTGATTTGTTGTATTTAACTTTGTTTCACTGTGTGCTTTTTATGCATTCTGATGTAAAATTTATTCATCTCTTCTTTTAATGATGGACATTTAAGTAGCTTCTGAATCTTGGTTATAGTGAATAGTGCTGCAAGAAACATGGGAGTGCAGATATCTCTTCTCTTGATGAAGTTATGAAAATCAGATATACTGATTACCTTTTTTTCTTTGTTTTTTGTTTGTTTGTTTTTTGAGACAGTCTCACTCTGTCACCTGGCTGGAGTGCAGTGGAGCAATCTCGGGTCACTGCACCTCCACATCCTGGGTTTAAGTGACTGTCCTGCCTCAGCCTCCCTAGTAGCTGGGACTACAGGTGAGTGCCACCATGCCCAGCTGATTTTTGTATTCTTAGAAGAGATGGGGTTTCACCACGTTGGCCAAGATGGTCTAGATTTCTTAACCTTGTGATCCACCTGCCCCTGCCTCCCAAAGTGCTGGGATTATAGGCATGAGCTACCACGCCTGGCTTTGATTTCCTTTCTTTTCAGTATATACCTAGCAGTAGGATTGCTGGGTCATATGATAGTTCTAGGTTTAGTTTTTGAGGAATCTCCATAGTCTTCTCCATAGTGGCTATACTAACTTACATTTCCACCAACAGGGTAATAAGGTTCTCTTTTCTCCTATAGCAGACATTTTCAACAAGGTGTGTTCAAAATATCTTTGAAACTGAACTCTCTCTATATTTATATATTTTTACAATTAACTCATTTCCTGTAAGGCTGAATTGTAGGTCAGGAATACTTCAGGAATTAGCTGTTCTCCAAAACATAAATTATATGCAATCATTTGCTGCCCAACATATGCAACCTTTCTTTGCTTTGGAAAAGAAAGAGAAGTAAGAGAAGTCACAAAGAGCCCTTATTGTGTGCAAAATCCTCTTGGGGGTATTTGCCTATAATATTATAACTCAATATGACAACATATTGATTCAGTGCCTCAGAGACAGTAAAAGCCATGTCAAGGACAGGCAGATAGCAACAAAAAAGGAGGGTATTTCACAGAGTTTGCTGTGATCTGTAGTCTCCTACATTTTTCTACACTGAAACTAACATTTTTGTTATTTTATATGTATTTTAAATTACATTTTATTTTTTATCAGGACACAAAAAACAACAAAATTCTATGAAGCCATAAGAAGTAATAGAGCTTAAACAATACAAAATACACCAAGAAAAGATGAGATCTTGGATCCAAGCAACCATGGAAGCCGATTTCTAAATTTCCGCCACTTTAAAACAATTTATTAGCCTGTATAATTTTCCCTATTTGTGAATTGAGTGAATTGATGTCTGAAGTATGTTACAGATTCCATTCAAATCTAAGACTAGATTAATTACTTGGTATTTAAAAAAGCACACACACAAAAGAATATATCGTAAGGGCCTGTCACCAGGCATACATATTAAAGTAAATACCTGAGATTCTTGTACAAAGTCACTATGTGTCCTTTTTTTTGTTGTTCTTTTTTCTTTCTTTTTTTTTTTTTTGAGATGGAGTCTCACTCTGTTGCTGAGGCTGGAGTGCAGTGGCACAATCTCCACTCACTGCAACCTCCACCTCCCAGATTCAAGTGATTCTCCTGCTTCAGCCTCCTGAGTAGCTGGGATTTCAGGCATGCACCACCAAGCTCAGCTAAACTTTTTGTATTTTTAGTAGAGACGCAGTTTCACCATGTTGGCCAGGCTGGTCTTGAACTCCTGACCTCAGGTGATCCACCGCCTCAGCTCCCAAAGTGCTGGGATTACAGGTATGAGCCACCGCGCCCAGCTACTATGTGTCTTTTAATTATTCATTTTGTAGCATGCACTTGGCTGTGATTGGCATAAACAATGAATGAATCTTCCTAGAATCTTTCTTCTCAGTTTTCGCTTTTGTTGTCCTTGGTTTATTGAGAAACAAAAATGCTGGTTAGCGTCCGGAATTGGGTCCTGACGTAGTACATTATGAGGTACTTACATGTCACTCATAATGTTAAAGTAATAACCAGTTTAGACCCAAAACTAGGAAAACAATAATAACATTACTAAACAGGATGATACTGTGATCTCTATGTCTCATTGCTATGGTCGCTGTTTTTCATAATATACTTGACAAGTGACATTCAAATGCATAACATTCAATCATGTGCTGTACATTCTATAGAGATTTTGTAAGTAAGAAAGGCTTCTGAAAATACTCCTATGACATTACCCATTTGGTTTTGGGACAAACAAATAAACGATGTCACCACAAATGAGAGGTGGCTAAGGCACTAAGTGAAGTAATTGCAAAAAAGTTACTCAGTCTAGGAAGTATGGTCCTATGCCTTAACTATTCTTATAACTCCTCGGATGTTTTAATATACTTGTGGTAATATTGAAGAATAGTCATCTTCAAGCTACTTATAGCAGCTACGCATCAAAGTAACTTCCTGAAAATGCCTCAGTTCACACCATTATCCCAAGGTTTGGAGTTAGCCACATTGTATTAGATCCACTTTCAACCATTGTCCATAAAAGATGCTAAAGAGGTACCACTTAATGCAAGTAACAATTAACCTGGAAACCCAATTTGAAAATCCTAAAACTAGAAATATTATTTCAGAAGATTTTCAAAGCAATGTTACCTGCTTTAAGGAAGCCTGAGGGGCATGGCCGTCTCTCCCTCATCAGGTCTTATCTCTCAATGTCAGGGTATAAGAAACTTATTACATTGAATCAGTACTTTCCAGTTTTCCCGTGTCTTTCAAGAATCACATGTAGTTTAGGGCAATTTGTAACAGTATATCTATTATTTCTCAAGTCCTAGAAAAGTATTTGACAAAATGGTGCTTTGTGGAAAGACAATAATTTTTTTCTGCTCCATTTTGGTCTCTTTTGTTATAATAATCAGGCAAACTGAACTAGTGTAAAACAAAGCTTTATATTTTCCTCTTTAAAAGAGCAGAGGAAGAATGTGACTAAATTTACTTTGGCATCATTGATTGAGTACATCCTATTTGCAATGATTTGGATTAGCTATTGAATGGCAAATGGTGACTGGTAAATATTTGTGTATATTTGAACAGATGTAGATGTAGGATCAGCACACTGACGTACAGATAAAACATTTCTTAACACACCTGTCCATATAGCATATTTTGACTTATTTTTGCCCTGGTCAATCCCAGTGTGTACCTATGGTAACCTTATGGGAACAATAGTTCCTCATTCCTCAATATACACTATCACTGTGTGACTTCTTCAGTGTTTACAACACACACAATTTAGCAAGATATTTGATTTCTATGTAATTTAATATGTAATTGTTAAACAGTTTCATATAGAAGACTTTGACTTTTTACTAAGGCACTGGAAAACCTAAGAACTGGATTTTATTCTAGATTGTTATGAGTCAGAAACTTGCATAAATTCTTTTAGGCCTTAGAATGCCTGAAATTCTACACTAATGGGAGTATAATGCCATAGCATAAGATGAGCAGCATAAGATGCAATGAGAACTTACTGTATTTATCTAAGACCCAATCTGTCATTTGCATGTCTAGCTCAGTGCTTATAAAAAGTATATGATTATTTAAAATAAATAAATGAGCATGTTGGGGTTGATATATATGTAGAAAAAGAATGAGGATAGAATGAGATATTAATTATATGTCTACACTTGATGCCTCTGCGCATTTAGACTTCAGCTACAGTTACTTCAAATACCTGTAAGAAATAACGACAATCTGACATAACATTTAATTTTATCTGTTAAATAGCAAACACATCTGCACCCAAATTCAATAACTCCTAAGTGATGTAGGCAACAGAATGACGTATATATATGAAATTTTAAAGACAACTACTTTAAAAATAGATTTTAAAAAATGAATAAATGGTAAGAAAACACTGGGTCTTGGTAAACAAAAGTGACTAAATAATAAATACAGGCACAGCTTGGAGACATTGTGGGTTTGGTTCCAGACCATAAGAATAAAGCAAATATCATAACAAAGTGAGCCACATACATTTTTTGGTTTCCTAGTTCATATTAAAATTATGTTTACACTAGTCTTTTATGTGTGCGATAGTATGATGACTAAAAAAATGCACATACCTTAATTAAAAATGATTTACTGCTAAAAATGCTAATGCTCATTTGAGCTTTCAGCGAGTGGTAATCTGTTAATCTTTTTGCTAGTGGAGGGTCTTGTCTTGATGTGGATGGCTGCTGACAAGCGATGTGGTTGCTAAAGGTTGTCGCAGCTGTGACAATTTCTTAAAATAAGACAACAGTACAGTTTGTCACATCCATTGACTCTTTCTTTCACTAAAAATTTCTCTGTAGCATATGATACTGTTCAATAGCATTTGATCCACAGTAGAACTTCTTTCAAAATTGTAGTCAATCCTCTCTGATAGAGTTTGGATATATGTCCCTCCCCAAATCTCATGTTGAAATCTAGTTCTCAGTGATGAAGGCAGAGCCTTATGGGTAGTGGTTGGGTGAAGGGGGTGGATCCATCATGGCTTGGTGCTGTTCTTGCAATAGTAAGTATTCTTGAGATCTGATTAAGTGTGTGGCACCCCACACCACCACTCTCTTTCACTCCTGCTTTCACCATGTGACATGCTTGCTCTTGCCTCAATTTCTGCCATGAGTAAAAACTCCTTGAGGCCTCCCCAGAAGCTGAGCAGATGCTGATGCCATGCTTCCTGTACAGCCTGCAGAACCATGAGCCAATTAAACCTCTTTTCATTATAAGTTACCCAGTCTCAGGTATTTCTTTATAGCAACACAAGAATGGTCTCGCACACCTCAAATCCTGATACTGCTCTATCAACTACGCTTAGGACATATTCTAAATCCTTTGTTGTCGTTTCACAATGTTTACAGCATCTTACTAGGAGTAGATTTCATTTCCAGAAACCATTTTATTAGATTATCCATTAAGAAGCAACTCCTCATCCATTAAAGTTTTACCATGAGTTACAGCAATTTAGTCCAATCTTCAGGCTCCACTTCTAAACTTCTAACTCTAGTTTTTTTGCTATATCTACCATACTTGCAGTTACTTCCTCTACTAAAGTCTTGAACTCTTCTAAGTCATCGAGAAGGGTTGGAATCAACTTCTTCCAAACTTGTGTTAAGGTTGATATTTTGACCTCCTCCCATCAATCACAAATATTCTTAATGACATCAACAATGGTGAATCCTTTCCAAATGGTTTTCAATTACTATGCTGAGATCCATCATAGGGATTAGTATCTATAGCAGTAGGTATAATCTTATGAAATGTATTTCGTTTTATTTATTTATTTATTTATTTATTTATTTATTTATTGAGACCGAGTCTCGCTGCGATGCCCAGGCTGGAGTGCAGTGGAGTGATCTCGGCTCACTGCAACCTTCACCTCCCAGGTTCAAGTGATTCTCCTGCCTCAGCCTCTCGAGCAGCTGGGATTACAGGCGCCCACCACCACACCTGGCTAATTTTTGTATTTTTACTAGGTTTCACCGTGTTGGTAAGGCTGGTCTTGAACTCCTGATCTCAAGTGATCCTCCTGCCTCGGCCTCCTGAAGTGCTGGGATTACAGGCATGAGCCACTGTGCCCGGCCATGAAATGTATTTCTTAAATCATAATATTCGAAACTCAAAATTACTCCTTTATCCATGTGCTACAGAAAGGATGCTGTGTTCACAGGTATAAAAATAACATTAATCCCTGCGTATATCTCCCTCAGAGCTCTTGGGTGACCAGATGCAATGTCTATGAGCAGTAATATTTTGAAAAAAAAAATAACATTTATAGATAGTAGGTCTCAACAGTAGGCTTAACATACTCAGTAAACCATGCTGTAAACAGATGTGGCTGTCATCCAGGCTTAGTTTCCATTTATAGAGCTTACACAGAGTAGATTTAGCATAATTCTTAAGGGTGAATTTGAAATGATATTTGAAATGATAAATGAGCATTGGCTTCAACTTAAAGTCAGCAGCTGTATTAGCCCCTAATAAAAGTCAGTCTGTCCTTTGAAATTTTGAAGCCAGGAATTGACTTCTCTCTAGCTATGAAAATCCTAGGTGACATCTTCTTCCTTTATAAGACTGTTTCATCTACCTTAAAAATCTAGTGTTTAGTGTAGCCACCTTCATCAATTATCTTGCTGTATCTCCTGGAAAATTTGCTGCAGCTTCTACATAGGAACTCGCTGCTTCACTTTGCAGTTTTATATTATAGAGATGGCTTATTTTCTTAAACTTTGTAAGCCAAACTGTTAGTTTCAAACATTTCTTCTGTAGCTTCCTCCTTCTCTCAGCCTTCAAAGAATTGGAGCAGTGGAGCCTTTCTCTGGATTAGGGTTCTATGCAGGGGTATGTTTTGGCTGCTTTGATCTATCCAAACCACTCAAACTTTCTCCATATCAACAATAAGGCTTTATTAACCTCTGTGTGTTCACTGCAGTAGTACTTTTAATTTCCTCCGAGAACTTTTCCTTTGCATTTACAACTTGGCTAACTAGTGCAAGAGATGTAACTTTCAGTCTATCTCAACTTTTGTCATGCCTTCCTCACTAAGCTTAATCATCTCTAACTTTTCTTTTTTTTTTTGGAAACGGAATTTCACTCTTGTTGCTCAGGCTGGAGCGCAAAGGTGTGATCTTGGCTCACTGCAACCTCCGCCTCCTGAGTTAAAGTGATTCTCCTGCCTCAGCATCCTGAATAGCTGGGATTACAGGCATGCGCCACAACGCCAGACTAATTTTGTATTTTTGGTAGATACGGGGGTTTCTCTATGTTGGTCAGGCTGGTCTCGAATTCCTGACCTCAGGTGTTCCACCCGCCTTGGCCTCCCAAAGTGCTGGGATTACAGGCATGAGCCAACGTGCCCGGCAATCATTTCTAACTTTTCATTTAAAGTGAGAGACATGCAACTCTTACTTTGACTTGAACACTTAGAGATTACTGTAGGGTTATTAACTGACCTAATGTCAATGTTGTTATGTCTCAGGGAATAGGAAGACCCAGGGAGAGGGAGAGAGACAAGGAAAAAGCCATGTGGTGGGGGCAATCGGAACACATAACATTAATTGATTAAGTTTGCCATACCGTGGGCATGGTTCATGGCACTACAAAACTATTACAACAGTAACATCAAAAATCACTGAACAGATATCACTATAACATATATAATAGTATTTAAAAAGTTTGAAATATTGCAAGAATTATCAAAATGTGACACAGAGACATAAAGTAAGCATATGCTGTTGGAAAAATGGCGCTGACAGACTTACTCAATGTAGGGTTGTCACAAACCTTCAGTTTGTAAAAACAACACAATATCTGCAAAGTGCACTAAAATAAGGTTTGTTTGTACTTGAGTCTTTACAAGTAAACATGGCTCATTTCTCAGAGGAGCTAACTCAAAAAAAAGTTATATGAGATCTTACCTTGCCCTAAGATTTCAACTAACTGGACAAAATAAAGTTGCTGAAAGGTACCGATAATGTGAAGGAATAAAAAGCCTTAAATTTTCCTTAAAATTTAATACTAAAAATTTTTTAGTATTTTTAGTATTGACTACTGGTGGGTCAATATTTTTCATCTTTGAATATTCATTTGACAGAAATTTACCAGCATTAGTTAATTGTATCAAAGGCTGTCTCTCTTCATTACTTAAATGCAATGAAATTACTTATTTTATTTCTTTCACAAAAGCAGTTAGTGGAAGGTAATTTTCATATGTAGGGCTCCATTTTCCTCTAATTTCTTTTCCCCCAGGATTAATTTTTTTTTTCAGACAGTAAGAAGGTTTTCAAATCTTCCCTCTGAACTCATTTTAAAACTGTCTAAAAAGCAAAGCTTGGTATATTGGATTTATAGAAGTCTCAGGCTAACATCAATTCTGTTTCTATATTAACATATGACAAAAAACAACCCTATCTTTTGGTTGAATACTGAAAGGGCTAAAACTCATAATTTTCTTCTTCTTATCTGATTTCTAAATGAATTCTTTACCTCACTTATTCTGAAAGAACAAAAGTATAAATAGTTCTATATTCTATTGAGTGTTCTATTAAAAGCACCTTTAGACAAATCCAGAAGTAGATCTAAAGGTTGCCCTCATTCATCTCTCAGAGACACAGCAGATGAAACAACTGTTTTACATCCTTCAGATGTCAGCAAGCATTAATCTATTTTATGCCACCCTCAAGTGATTCCACATAGTTTGGGAAACTGAAATGCTTTGTATTTTAAAAAATTGAGTAATGAAAATAGCTCAAAATTGCCATGTTTATTTTGCCTAAATGCAAAACATCCCTCTCCAAGATTCAATAAATGTCCCATTTTGATGATGTGCAAAATTCTTTAAATTTGCAGCAGTACTTGAGGAACTTGTGCTAACAAGCAGGTAAATATTCCTGTATGAGTCACTTAAACTTGTTTTTTGTTGCTCCTCTATACAAAAGTTGGAGTTGTCCTTAGAACATTTGACAAATTTTTGCAACATTTTCCTCTTTTTACTCAGTGAATTTATATACATAAATCATACCTATCTCATTTTTTAAAATCTAACTTTTCAGGTCTTTCAGACTTTCTCAGAGTTTTAAGGTAAAACTTGAGTGTTGTGAGTTCAGTTTTCGAGAACACTTCCCCAAATTGAATAAATTAATTGCATTACAGTTTATTTAACAATATGTATATAAAAAATATTGCTCAGATCCACAAAATGTAAAATAAATGTTTAAAAGCACACACACAAAAAATAATAACCAGAATTATTTAGCATGTGGTTAGGGGGGAGATGGGTATGTATTAACTCTAATTGCCTTTCTAAAAGAAAGCAACCATGTCTAAAATTAAAATTTTAGTTTCAATTATTCAGGTCCATTTTAGTGGTAAAATTATATTGATCTTTTAAGTGTACTATTGAATATTGCATATGCTGTATGACATGTATTTGTGTATTTTTTTTCTTACAGTTTTCGTGTTTATTTCTTAAGATACTTGGTTAACAAAGTATTAGATAAGCTTCTTGAATTTGGAGATTATGTCTCCTCTCCCAGAAATCCACAATATGAAATTGATATATTGGACTGTAGAGGATCAATATAGACTATAAGACACACAGTATGCCCCCTCTAACCTGCTGAAACAGAGTTTACCTCTGGAAGGAACTAGCTTCCTTCCAATGAAGTGTCACGCTAAATGGTGTTGAACACTGACTCTTCTTGGAGTGCAAAAGACTTATTTGCTGTGGTCTCCTGTGCAATATTTGGCACATTCTTTATAATCTTTACCTTAAGTCTTTTTCATGGATACTTTTCTCTGTCTCTCTCTCTTTTTTTTTTTTTTTTTTTTTTTTGAGATGGAGTCTCGCTCTGTCTCCTAGGCTGGAGTGCAGTGGCGTGATCTCAGCTCACTGCAACCTCTGCCTCCTGGGTTCAAGTGGTTCTCCTGTGTCAGCCTCACGAGTAGCTGGGATTACAGGTACGCACCACCACACCTGGCTAATTTTTGTATTTCTAGTAGAGACGGGGTTTCACCATGTTGACCAGGCTTGTCTCGAACTCCTGACCTACTGAGAGTATTTCTTAAACCTCTTATCTAAAATTCATCACCGTCTTCAATTTCAGCATTCATTTGTCTATTCCTTTATTTTTTTCCATAACATGCCTTCACGTACCATAACACTCCCTTACACTGTGCCATTTATCTGTTTAGCACCATGCTTACAATGTTTTATAAAGGTAGATTTTATGGAATCAGCAACCTATCAAACTTATTAATCTGTACCTTCCACATATAGTAGGCTCTCTTAATTATGTAATAAATTAATGACTCAATATTGATAAACTGTATCTTTCTCAAATTCCATAAGATGGATTTCTATTATATGTGTTCCCAGACTTTTTCCTTAAAAAGCCTCTATCTTAGGTTCCTACGCTTGCCTTCAGGAGACTGACTTAACTTTCCTTCTCTTCCTCTTAACTCAAATGCTATCAGGTATAGTCACGGAATCATATTGTGGGTTTCCATGACTATACTTGAAGTGCTTCCATACCTGTTAGCATTTGATAGGCCAGAAACACGAGCCCTAGAATGAGTGTACTTTGTGATGTTTATTATGTTATCAGAGATGAGTGTTCTAACACCCAAGGCTTCTTCACATTCCCAATATGTGAAAGTGTGTTTGCAACCACAGAGAAAAGCACTCAATGCAGACTTGATTTTATATATTTTGCTTTCAGGTAAAATTAAACTTAAATTTTGGTTTCTGCATCTGTAAAATTCTGAAGAAAATTTTATGTTCATTCATAATGAGTGAAATATTGGCCAGCTCTATCTAGGACAGCAGGTAGAAAGAGAATAGGATTTCATGACACTAACAACGTTTTACATGAATGCAAGGAGGGAGAAATAGATCCCTCACCCAGTGTGTGGTGTGCTTGTGTGGACTGTGTGCTTAAGCATTTGATACAGACACTTTTTTTCCTATATTTCTTGGAATTTGGTAAAATAAATATATCCTCCTTCCCCAACCCTTATTGTATTTCTTCATCATTTTCAACCACTTTTCCATCCTTTCATAAAGCTGATCACCTTTTGTGTACTCTGGGCTGAGGATATAAGCAAAATTGCTATGCAGTTGTGGTTTGAAACATTTTTTTTTTTTTTGAGACAGGTTCTTACTCTATCACCCAAGCTGGAGGGCAGTGGTGTGACCATGGCTCTCTGCAGCCTCCATCTCCTGTGCTCAAGCAATCCTTCCACATCAGCCTCCCAAGTGGGTGAAACCAGAGGCATGTGTCATCATGCCTGGCTAGTTCTTTTATTTATTTATTTATTTGAGACAGAGTCTCGCTCTATCTCCTAGGCAGGAGTGCACTGTTGCGATCTCGGATCACTACAACGTCTGCCTCCTGGGTTCAAGGGATTCACATCCCTCAGCCTCCCAAGTAGCTGGGATTACAGGTGTGTGCCACCACTCCTTTCTAATTTTCGTATTTTTAGTAGAGACAGGGTTTCATCATTTTGGCCAGACTGGTCTTGAACACCTGACCTCAAGCGATCCGCCTGCCTCAGCCTCCCAAAGTGCTGGGATTACAGGCATGAGCCACTGCGCCTGGCCTTATTTTTTTTTATATTATATTTATTTATTTGCTTGTTTATTTATTTTTATCAGTGCAGGGTTTCTACAGGCTGGTCTGAAATTCCTGGGCTCAAGTGATCCTCCCACCTCAGCCTCCCAAAGTGCTGGACATGACCACCGCATGAGCCACCAAGCCTGGCCTGAAACACTTCTTTACATTTGGTAAACAACTACTTCCCAGAGGCCCCCAAGGGCCCCATCTCACTTTGTGTTCCCCAGGAATCTTCTGTGTTCTCAGGATATACAAACCTAAAAGTTAACGCCTATTATAACAGGGGTTCTTGAACCCTGCTTCATTCAGTGCTGATATCTGAAGACTTTCTGGTTGCATGATGGCCATGCGCAGTCCTGCTTTGAAGTTCTCACTACCTGGCTTCTGAACATCACCCCTGGCACCTTTCTCACAATCCACAGAGCCACTCTGCACATACTTCCCAAACCCTACCCTGTCCAGAGAGGAAAAGACCATGGAAGGTGAAAGGGGTAAAGAGGCAACCTTCATGTTGGTGTTGGGACCACAAATGCCTGTCCTAACACCATTTGATATTTTGAATAGCACATTAATCATAAATTGAGATGAATAAGAGGTATCCAATGCCCTTAAATATATGGAGAAATAGACAAGTTAAAAGGCAATTACTGTACAGTTATGTTCCGTAGAGTTTTGTGCACTAAGCAGTATCTTCAACCCAGCCTTAACACTGAAAGAACTAGAATCGGAGGAAATTGCCGTTAAGCAAATTCCTGAAGGCCACATAGCCAAGAAAGTTGCAGGTATGCTACTGGGGAGGGCAGAAAAAAATCCTATGTAGATCTCCAAGGAGGCGATGGTCCTTGCGTCTTAGGGAAACAGAAAGTAGTTCAGTGGGGAGAGAATTGATAACTGAGAGAGAGAGAGAGATACTGGAAGTGAGAATTGGGAGTAGAGACATGGTAAATATCATTTGTGCCAAGGGAAAGATGTTTTTCAATCTTTTTCTCCATACTCTAGCAGAGTTTGCTTTACGAAACCTTACTTCTTAAAAACTGTTATCATCACTCCACATTTCTCAAAGGAATAAATCCAAGCCTTTACCCATATTTCTCTAGAATCATATTTACAAAATGATATTAATATTAAAAAAAGGAGATTGCAAGACAGAGAAATGGCATTAAAACATGGAACATTTGTCCATCTTTCTACCTGTGGTAACATTTAAAAGCCTGCGTATTACAAAGGCTGAAAGCATTGGCCCAGAGACAGGCGGCTTGGGGAGTACCCAGGTCTGAGTCCCTGATTAGACCCATAACATTGTAAAAGCTACTCAACCAGTCAGCCCTCATCTATAAAAAAACGGGTTAAGCATAGAGCATGCAAAGTGTGTGGGAAGTTGCCTGCCCCAGATGCGTTCACTAAGTTAGCTACCACTGATTTTATTTAAATTATAGAACGGATAAGTGAATATGACTGCAGTTATGAGAAAAAGCCATAACATCCTTTTCTTTTTTTTTCTGAATAACTATTTGAGCACAAACTAATATCTTGTTCCAGATATTACATAGTGGTGGACAGCCTGGAAGGCAGGATATTATAAGGGCTTAATTTAAAGTCATCTCAGTCAAGTAAATTAACATATTCTAATAACTTCCTACATCATAGAAATAAGCCTGAAGCTGTTCCAGAATGTGTAGGCTGAGGTGAGGAGGCAGCCCAGGAGGAAACTAGATAAAGTGTAAACAAATTCAAAGATTATAGGCAGTTAATGGAATGGTGAGAATGAGATTGTATCTTCAATTTACAGGGACATCATGAGATAATTTAGGTAAATTAGACAGTTAAAAACTATGTCCAGATAACGGGAAACATACTGGATTACTGTTATTATCCCAAGTTTTCTTTTCTATTGTTCAGCAGCATCTACACAGTAATCATCAAAGAATGTAGCTGTGTGTATAATTTGCAAGAAGACCTAAAATTTTCTTTATTGCAAAGACAACCTGATTGCCTCACTATCTAAAAGGAACAACTAACATAAATTATAGCTAGAAAATTGCCTCACTAATGTAGTCCCAAATTAACCTCTGTAAATACTTTCATATGTTCAGGCATCACCAGAGACATAATTCTAAAAACATTTAAATGTATTACTGCAACCCAACTAGTGGATGAAAATATGTTGTTTGGCCTGGTATTAGAAAAGCTGAAAAGTCTTTCAAGTATTGTCATCACTCTTACTATTCATTATCTTTACATATCTCTCTTTAAATGGATGTGTTATATCCAGTGTCTTTCTACTCACTTCTAGTAAAGAATGATCATGCAAAAATTTTAAAATATAAAGAATAAAGATTTCAATAGCCATAGCTCTAAGTATCAATGTTTTCCTTCAAGACTTTTTATGCATCTTTATCTTAAAATTGCTCATGTTCCAAAAGGGGTATAAAATTGCGTCTAAATCTGTAATATCTTTTCCTAAACCATGATATGAACTATTAATATTTTAAACCAAGTTTGTGTGTGTGGGGGGGGGGTGTTTTTAGCATATTAGGACAAGTTAGTAATCGAGCAAGTATTCTGCTTTTATGTTATAGCAATTTGTTTTGTGTGTAAGTGCTCCTAAAACAAGCATCACTCTTTTGTAGAATACGGTTTTAGATTATAAATATGCCCAAAGGCTCAGCAAAGGGAATCTGACTATAAATTTAGCAGAAATAATAAATGTACTAGTTTCCACTGCTTTCCCAGAAAATCAGAATGTCTCCTTTTTAATGTTACTGGATTCATGTGTGCTCAGAAGCAGGCCAAAGCACCTTAACTGTTTCTTGTTTTCTCCTTCCTCTTTTCCTTCTTTTTCTTCTTCTTCATCTTTTTTTGGTGGGGGAGGGTAACAGGGGTAAAAATATTGCCTGAATATGCGTTTCTCTAGAAGGGAAATTAAACTGCTATTTAACTTGATCCGATCATTCCAGTCTTGAATTGTTTCTTCTCTTCTGTTGCTATATTTTAGGTTCAGAGTTCAATTAGCAAAATTATAGTTTCGTTTTTCCCCTGGTGAGTGTCTTTTAAACAAAATGATTTAAGCAAGAAACTGCTTTGTGAGTGATTACATTTATCTCAGCATGCATTCTATTTCTCTCTGGTTTGGCCAATTAGAGATATAACAAAGGCCTACGACTTCTATCACATCTACAAACTATACTGTTTGGTGTTACATTAAAACCTCAAACCTAATCTCTAAATAACTTAATCTCTAAATACTGGAATCTCTAAAGAGTTCAACTCTCTGTATACTACTTATAGATATGAGATCCATCTAATTTAAAAGACGGAGTTTATGAATATTAGTTCCCTTAGGCTACTGTGACTACTTCCCTAGGAGACACTGTGCTTAGTTTAATGATAAATTTTAAAAATGAAAATGAATATATTCATGAATATCAGATGTTATAAGGTCAACAATTGATTTGACTTGGAAAGAAATTGATTTTATTCCGATTTAATGACTTTTGTGCCCTTTTAGTCTTAAAATATTATTTCTATCATTAAATAATAGTGGTAACAGTGAATAGTTCCCTCACTAATGTGTATTATGATGAATTGGAAACAAAATTTTTAAAAATGTTTTCATTATTATTTATGATTTGTATGTGTTTTAAATCCATCCCTTTATTTTTTTATATTGTTGTTCTGATGAAAATTCCAGACTTGGATGACATGATTGGAAGTTTAAACTGAACATACCCTAATTTTCTTTTCTTTTCTTTTTTATTTCATTGTTTTCAAATCAACCTTATTTTAAACTCCCTCTTACACAGAGACACACTACACAATACAGTGTTAGAGCAGAAAATAAATTATTTACAAAAATCATTTAGAGTAAAATCACATTTTTATTTCAACAAATATATCAGATTAATTGTATCTTTATGATCATTTGTTGCTGTCAGTCTATTCATACTGGGAAAACTGTCACATTAAAAATCCTCAAAATAGTTTTAGCACAGGTCAAATCTTATTTTGCTAAGCCCCTGAGCTCTTCGAAGAGGCTGACCTTATGCATTGACCTCTTCCCCAGCTACCCTGGTCTCTTCTCTCCAGAATGCCTTGCTACATGCTCTGGCCTCAAAGCTACTTTTTTCCCCGCTCACATTAACTCTAGGTGAACATTTAATGATATCACCTTTTTAGCCAACGATGCTCTGCAGAAACCATGTAGCTTCTCTGACAAGTAGACTTAGAGTCCCTGCCCCAAATAGGACCTCATACCATTTTCCTGATGCTTACTGACAAGGAAGAGGATCCAGATGAGGGTACATTTTGGGTATCCTTCTTATTATTCATAAAATTGCCAATAATGGTCAATCTTCTAACATCTCCAAGCTTCATGTCTCAGATAATCATTCAAACATTGGATGGCAAAGAGGTCGTCGATGTCAAGCTTATTGGCAAACAAGTGGTGCTTGCACAGCATCCATTTCAAGTCACCAGCTCTGAAAATGCACACCAAGTGCACGTGGTCCCCATCGTAGGGTGGGTAGGGAGCATCCTCAGAAACATCACCCTCCAAGTACTGCCACTTGACAAACCTGGCGACTGCATGCGTGTCAGACAAGTCATACTTATGGCTTGTAGAGAGTGAGCCGGGGACTTCAGGAATACTCTGGATGGTGGCTCAGAGATGCTCATCAGGGCTGTATGTGTCTTGTGCTCACTCCATAAACTTTTGGATTTTTTTAATCCTGAAGTACATACCCCACATACTCCCTACTGACCACAAAATAGGCACAGCCTGAACAAAGAAGTGTTTCAAGTGGAGGAGGCATTTTAACATTCCCTGTGTTTGTCAGCTTTCCAAAAACCTCATACTGCTTTTTCCACCTTTCTCCTTTATTGGATAGCATCCTCTCCATTTCGAGGTTGTTTTCTCCCATTAACAACTTGATCTTATTAACAACATTATGTTATCATTGCTATGTTTTAGCAAAGAGACTGGCGGCATTTTGCCCATGGCCTAGAGATTTGTGGAACTTTGAACTTGAGAGAGATGATTTAGGATATCTGGTGGAAGAAATTTCTAAGCAGCAAAGCAATCAAGAGTTGACTTGGGTGCTGTTAAAGGCATTTGGTTTTATCAAAGGACCAGACTTTATAAAACTTTAGAAAATTTGCAGTGATACAATGCAATAGAAAAAAAATCCCATTTTCTGGGGAGAAATTTAAACCAGCTGCAGAAATTTGCATATGTCACAAGGAGTCAAATATGAATCCCCAAGACAATGGGGAAAATGTTTCCAGGGCATGTCAGAGGTCTTCACTGCAGCCCCTCCCATCACAGGCCTGAAGGCCTAGGAGGAATAAGTGGTTTTGTGGGCCAGGCCCAGGGTCCCTGTGCTGTGTGCAGCCTACAGACTAAATGCCCTGAGTCCCAACTGCTCCAGCCATGGCTGAAAGGGGCCAATATAGAGCTTGGGCTGTGGCTTCAGACAGTGCAAGTCTCAAGCCTTGGCAGCTTTGGGAACCTCTGCCTAGATTTCAGAGGATATTTGGAAATGTCTGAATGCCCAGGCAGAAGTTTGCTGCAGAGGTTTCCATACATCCTCTGAAATCTAGGCAGAGGTTCCCAAAGCTCAATTCTTGACTTTTCTGCACTGGCAGGCTCAAAACCACATGGAAGTTGCCAAGGCTTGAGGCTTGCTAGGGCAATGTGGAAGGAAAATGTGGGGTCAGGGCCCCACACAGAGTACCTACTGGGACACTGCCTAGTGGAACTGTGAGAAGAGGGCCACCATCCTCCAGACACCAGAATAAAAGATCCACTGACAGCTTACACATGAGCCTGGAAAAACTGCAGACACTCAATGACAGCCCGTGAAGGCAGCTGGGCTCTTAATCTGATAGGTTTTCCTTTATATGTTACCTGATGCTTTTGCCTCATAGCTCTTAAGTTTCTTTGCTTTGCCTGACCACATTTTTAACTTTTCTTACCAAATCCTGGCTAAAAAAAAATTACAGCCTGAAAACATTTCTATGAAAAAATAGGGGTAAGGGAAGAGTTCTAACAAGAACTTTTATCTCCTGAACTCGCCTATCTTTTCATCATAATCTTTCTGAGAACATTGTAACTCACGGCACATTTTATGAGAGTAAGGGTAGAGGTAGTATGTATGTGCAGATTAAAGATTAAAAAAAACAATATGTTTGTCTACCCTCTGGCCCCAAATCAAATACCCTCATATGTCAGACTTTGGGAGCATCCTGTATAATCCTCCTGTTGCTCCCAAAGAATACTTATGCCCTCACCATCATTAGCTCAGTGTTGATGTTTTATATTATTTTATCCTGTATGTATGTTTTCCTAAATTTATAACCATATGAATTCACCTTAATATAGATGACATACTATTTTATCTATGCTTTTTTGGCCTTTCTTTTCATCACCTGCATGTGGCAATGCATCCACAGTGACATATGCAGCAATAATTCATTTATGAATATGTCAAAATTAATTCATCCCTTTGTATGTTAATGGTCATTTGGGTCATTTCTACTTTTTTCCTCCCACTTAAAATAATGCTGTAAACTTTCTTGTATATGCTTCCTGGTGAGTGTATGAGTAATTTCATTACTGGATAGCATGGGATCTATTAATTCAACTTTACCAAATAATCCTAAATTGTTCCCACAGGAGTACCTGAGAGCCTCCACTGCCCAACATCTTTAGTATTATTTGTCATAATCAATTTCTAAAATGTATATATTAGTGAGAAACATTATTGTCAAACCATGTCATGTTTTTAATTTGCATTTCCTTAATTATCAATGTCATTTCTTTGTAAGTATAATTACTATGTAACACATTAGGCAAAGAATTACTGAGCATACTACTGAATCCTGAGTCAAAAAAGTTTACTGCAATTGTATCATGTTTTCATGAAAGATGGGATGGTCAAAACGTCATCTGAATTTGTCAAACTAGAGGCAAAGGAGCTGGGGGTTTGTACTCTTGAATGTGGTTATGGACTTTGGCCAGCACTATAGGGGGATTGATATAAACCCTCACATGTTTCTGGCTCTCTATTCAGGCAATGAAACCCCTGCTGCTAAAGGGTCATCTACCATAGAAGAGTAACAACTGGGCCAGTAGAGAGAAAAGCGCACTTTGAAGCAAGCAGAGAGGTACGCAGAAATAGTAACAAATTTCAGGGCACTCATCTACACAGAGTACCAACAGCATCCTCTCTAGGAGAATCTTGGTAGTTTGGTAAACGGAAAAGGGGTTCTTACCAAAGTGTTCAACTTAGAAGGATTTCTCAATAGCTATCTTTAAGGACTGTTCTATACCCAGTTGTCAGCAATGTGTTGACCAGTCACATCAGTGAAGACATAGAAACTATGTATATCAGATATGAAGATAATTTCAAACTAGGAAAATAACAAACACAAAATGAGTCAAATTAAGTTTTAAAATGCTGTTAATAGGCATGATTAGCAGACATGAAGAAGACAAATTTAAAATATTTTATTTATATTTTAAAATTCACTTATTTACATACAGAAAAGAGAACCAATTTAGAAATTGATAGTTTTTTATTGACCACATGCCTAGGTAAGTTAACGACTATGGTGAATTTGCTAAAATAAGATAATGAAATAACATAATCCTTTAATGGAAGGAAACCGTCTTAATCAATTTAGATATGTTCTGTTTGTAACACATGTAGAGGTTATTTGCCTTGGAATGCCATGATTTTTAAGAGATAATGTAAAACAAAAGTCAGAACAAAAAGGAACATGAGGATGAAGATGGGATTTTGAAAGGAGAATAAAAGTCACAGATCTGGGGGATATTGAATCTGGAAAAGAGATTTTTAAGAAAGAACACTCATCCATAGTTTCCTAAAACTTTTCACAGGCTTTTTTCTTAAAATGAAATCAATAAAGATAATATAGTGTCTTCATTGTGAAATTTAACAAGTATAATAAATCAAACACCCTATGCAACTAATTTATTATTCATGAAATAAACTATGATTAGCTCCTATAAAAGAAACAAATGTATCTCTTCCCAATCAGAATTGCCTCTTTCTGAATAAAGTGAATCTTAGTATTTACTTTTTCCCCCTGGTTCTGCACTAATGTATCCATCAAACTATTATCTAGTTGCTTTTTTTTGCTTTTGAATTTTTTTAAGGGGAATCATCTATATTGTTTGCGGAATTTATTTATTTATTTATTTATTTATTTATTATTTTTGAGACGGAGTCTTGCTCTGTCGCCAGGCTGGAGTGCAGTGGCACGATCTCTGCTCACTGCAACCTCCACCTCCTGTGTTCAAGGGATTCTCCTGCCTCAGCCTCCCAAGTAGCTGGGACTACAGGCATGCATTATCACACCCAGCTAACTTTTGTACTTTTAGCAGAGACGGGGTTTCACCATGTTGATCAGGCTGGCCTCAAACTCCTGACCTCAGGTGATCCATCTGCCTCGGCTTCCCGAAGTGCTGGGATTATAGGTGTGAGCCACTGCTCCTGGAAGGAATTTATTTTTTTTAATTCTGTGTTTTTAAGATTTTTATTTTAGTGAAACTATAATTTATTCATTTTTATTGTTTGCCATTTAAAAAATATAACACAATTTAACTATGTATATTACTATGGATTAGCATTTGAGTTGTTTTGAATTTTTTTGTGTGTTACAAACAATGCTGCAATTGATATTTCTGTGCATATGTGCATTGAATTCTTTAGCATATATTTCTAGAAATAGTAATGGCAGGTCATCTCACTTTGGTTTTCTGCTGGCTGTGATATTTCTCTTAGCTCATTTCTTCCTTCTTTTTATGTTCTGATTACTTTTTGTCATTCCATCCTTTCTTTCTCTATAAGTTATAGGCTCTTACTATCTATTGAAATAGGTAGCCTAAAAATAAAATACATATACTGAACTTATCATAGCTTACTGTGTTCATCGTCATTTTTACCCTTCTGACAGGCATCACAAATTACCTTGAACTCTTTAACACCATTTCTTTCACTCTTTTGCCTTACAAGATACTGCCATAATATTTATCTTAAAAAAATTTACTACTAAAAAAAACCTTGTAAGGATAAATTATTACTGTTTAATAAGCTAGCTTTCAGTTCAGTTACATTTATCACTCACTTCCTTTAAACATCTTAGACCTCTCTCCTATTCAGTATAATTTTACTTGCCTAAATTATTTTCAAAAGTTAGAATCTTCTGGTAGAATATACTTCTGTTATTGTTTTTTCTGAAAGTAACGTTGTTTTTGAAAGAGTTTGACATGTACGGAATTCTACATTAGAGAATATTTTCTTCCAGCACCCTGCCTATTTAATTCCACTATGTCTTCCATTGTTGCTGCTGGGGTGTAAAAGATCAGCGTAACCGCCACTTGCTTGAAGAAACTCTCTTTTCTTGCTATTTAAAAGATTTTCTTTTTGTCTTTGATTTCCTGCAGTTTCACAATGATTTCTTTAGGCATAGAGCTCTTTTTTTTACCTATACTGTTTGAGATTTGTGGAGCTTCACGAATCTATGGATCTGTATCTTTAAACACTTCAGGACAATTTTTAGTAATGATATTGTAAACACTGCCTGTGCCTTATTCTTCCCTCCTCTTATCTTCTTCGGGAAAATCCCCTCCCTACTCAAATCACATGTTACATATTCTCATTCTAATCTCTATGTCTCTTAACTTTGTCAACATTCAATGTTTTTGTCTCTCTGTGTTCATTTTTGATACTTTCTTCTGAAGGATCTTTCAGTTTACCAACTGTCTTGTCAATCAGGAAAAACCTGCCCTTAAACCCGTCCAGTGACATTTTACTACATTTTTTTTTTAAAGTTTAATTTTGTTATTTTCAGAGCTGCTTTTTTACTTTTTTGGAGCTTTATGGTTTCTAGGTCGTTCTTTCAAAATTGCCCTTAGAATTATTTATTTTAAAACTTGATCTTTTGGCTTAAGATTGACTTGGCAATAGGAACAATTTTACACTGTTGGTGGGACTGTTAACTAGTTCAACCATTGTGGAAGACAGTGTGGCGATTCCTCAGGGATCTAGAACTAGAAATACCATGTGACTCAGCAATCCCATTACTGGGTATATACCCAAAGGAATATATATCATGCTGCTATAAAGACACATGCACACGTATGTTTATTGTGGCACTATTCAGAATAGCAAAGACTTGGAACCAACCCAAATGTCCAACAATGATAGACTGGATTAAGAAAATGTGGCACATATATACCATGGAATACTATGCAGCCATAAAAAATGATGAGTTCATGTCCTTTGTAGGGACATGGATGAAGCTGGAAACCATCATTCTCAGCAAACTCGCAAGGACAAAAAACCAAACACCGCATGCTCTCACTCACAGGTGGGAATTGAACAATGAGAACACTTGGACACGGGAAGGGGAACATCACACACTGGGGCCTGTTGTGGGGTGGGGGGAGTGAGGAGGGATAGCATTAGGAGACATACCTAATGTAAATGATGAGTTAATGGGTGCAGCACACCAACATGGCACATGTATACATATGTAACTAACCTGCACATTGTGCACATGTACCCTAGAACTTAAAGTATAATAAAATATATATATATATAAATAAAAATAAAACTTGAAGTAAAATATTTCTGCAAAAGAGATATGGGGATTTAGAAAAAATTATTGAAAATCAAATGATATCCTATAATTACATAAAGATGAATAAACATTTTGAAGCTTGCTCTGCTGAATTTTTCTCATTTTCTCCTTCACACCAGTTTTCACAATTTTTAATCCTGATTTGAAATATATTTTTTACTGTATCAATGGGGTTATAGATTCACTGAATTCCACTGTGTTTGTCCATTTGGAGGCTCTGGAAGGAGCTAACAGAATGCAATGGTTTGAAGGTGGAAACATAATCCCCAATGCAACAGAGTTTAGAGGAGGATTTTTTTTTTTTTTTTTTTTTTGGAGAAGACAGAGTTTTGCTCTTCTTGCTCAGGCTGGAGTGCAATGGTGTGGTCTCGGGTCACTGCAACCTCCGCCTCCTGGGTTCAAGTGATTCTCGTATCTCAGCCTTCCAAGTAGCTGAGATTATACCACGCCTGGCTAATTTTTGTATTTTTAATAGAGATGGGGTTTCACCATGTTGACCAGGCTGGTCTCGAACTCCTGACCTCAGGCGATCTGCCCGTCTTGGCCTCCCAAAGTGCTGGGATTACAGTCGTGAGCCATTGCGCACAGCCTAGAAGTGGACTTTTAAGAGGTAATTAGATCGTGAGGGCTCTGTTCTCATGAATGGATTAATGCTGTTATTGCAGGAGTGGGTTAGTTACATAGGAGTATGATGGGGTATTCACTTGCCCCTTTCACTTTCCACCATGGAAAGGTGCAGAAAGAAGGTCCTCACTAGATCCAGTCACCTCGACCTTGGCCTTCCCAGAACACCATAAGAATAAACCTCCGTTCTTTATAATTACCTAGTCTCTGGAGTTCTTTTATAGCAGCACAAAATGGACAAATACAGAAGACAAGATGAGAGTGAGAAGAAACTATTCATGTTCCTGGGTCTTTCATTTAATTTCATCAAGGGCTAGCTGTGTCACTCGGATGAAGGCCAACCCTCCTGTTCAACAGCCTATGCTACAGCTATAGTGTCTAGGATATGCTGGCAGCTAAATTATTTGCCTCATTAGACCAAGTGGTGATACCAGCTCCCTTACTGCAAGTCACTAACACTGCACTAGTATGTGTTGGTTGACCTTACCTCTACACATACCTTTATAACAACTAACAACTGTCCCTTTATTAAACTTACCAATAATCTGTTCCTCTTTACTAACCATTTTCTGTTGAGACCCCGAATTATATGGACCTAGAATGGCACATTACTTTTCTATGAATCAACATTCAATAGATAGATACTAAAGCATTTTATAGAGAACTTTTTTGGTGGAGATATATATATATATATACATATATAGCACACATATATAAATCCACATATATATTGTGTGTGATATATATAATATATATAGATTTATATATATATTATCCACCAAATATATCCATATTATATATATAATCTCCATACATATATATGTGTGTCTATATACCTACCAAATATATCCATATTATATATATACACACATATATATGTGTGTATACAATTTTATCATATGCAATAAATACATACATGTATATGTATATATGTGTGTATATATACATAATATTTTACTCAAGGACCATTTATTCTATTAGGTTAAATTATAAATATACATAATTACAATTAGTTGCCAAACTAATGTGTAGAAATGGAATAGACAGGAAATTGTAATACTTAAAACACAATGTTAAAAATTAACAAATCTAAATCACATACTAAATATCATGTTAAAGCACAGGAGGAATAATGTAAACTTGAAATTTTAGGCCACATAGACTAGTAAATTGGAAGTCATTTTATGTTAAACATGAATAGAAGAGACAAAGATATATTTCTTAATTAATTTTCATACGCCATTTGTAGAGTTAGCAAAATTTGCCACTGAAGTTACCGAGCAATACGACCTGCAAGGGTAGAACATAAATGAGGCAGATCTGGGCCTGAGGTACTGGTTTGGGATTAATTTGCATAGGTTAATGGTTGAAGTTGCAACATGAGTAATATCCGTACAATAAACTGTTAAGAGAATTGCCACAAATACATATTTTTGGGAAAAAAACATTATTTATGAGCAGGAGAAACAAATATCCAGTCAATAAAATAGATAAAAAGAAATGTAAGGGATTTAATTAGATAAGAATAATGCTATCAGCTCACTGTCAAATCTACTAATCTGCTGGTACCTTACTCACACTCTCTGTCTTCTCTCCTGTCACAGTGTGTTAAATGCTCCTGCTCCCACCCAAACCCAGTCCTTTATATTCTGGACCACATTCCTTTTTACTGCCCTGAATAAGCCCTGCCCCTGCAGTTATCACCTTTTTCTCTTGCATTGTAATTTTTTCTTTTCTTTGTAAGATCACTCTTATAGGCTATAACCACGCCATTATACTATCTTTAAAAAATAGTTCACCTGATATAACAGCCCTGTGTTAGATTTGATTATATTTTTCATACAAGTCTTTCATACCTTTCTCTAGATTTTGTGGTGTATATTTCCCAGCCCTGTTCATATTGGGAACAGGCTTGGCTGTTCCCAATATGGGCTTGGCTGCATCATTGATTGCCTGATGGAATGTCATTGGATGTGACATGAGCAGAGGCTTGATGATCACTTCTGTTATTTTTTCTGCTCTCTTGAATTCCTACAATGTGCATGAGAAGCACAGAAGACATGTAACTGCTGGCCCTTCAGCCTGTGCCCTAGAATGAAGACACGAGGAACAAAACTGGACCCAACTGTAAGCCTGGAGTGTCATCAGGTCAAGACCAATCCAGTGGAGATCAGCCAAACAGAGCCAATCTTCAAACAAGGGAGCATAAAAATCAATGTTTGATGTTGTAATCCATCAAGATTTTGAGGCCCATGGCTCCTCAAGCTAAACCTGTCACGTTGTTCTCTATTCTTGCTTTCACTTCACTTTCCTTTTTTGTTGAGAATTATGTCCATGTCATTTCATGAAACTTGTTACGTTGAGGTAATCAAAGATTGCTAGTCTGACAAATCCTGACAAATCTGAAGGTCACTCCTTAGCCTTCTTTTAATGCATTTAACATATTTGTCCACTTCCTCCTTAGAACACTTTTCCTCGGCTTCTGGAACATCCCACTCACGTGATTCTCCTCCTTCACTGTCACTTATTTTTAGTTTTCCTCTTTCTCTTCCTGGCATTTCAGTGTTAGAGCACCTGAAGATGTGGTTCTCAGTTCTTTTTTCCTTTCCATATATACTCACATTTCTCTTCTGTACATAACTTACATCCTAGAGTATTTTATGTCATCTCCTGATATTACCTATCATTTTTTTGTAATGACTAACAAATTTATATCTAATGTAAGCCTCTCCTTTGGGTTCTAACCCACTATTATCCAACTTCACTTGAGATTCTAACAGAATCCTCAAATTTACCATACGCTTCATTATTTAAGACAAAGGCAGCATACTATGTAAGACGTCGATATATGGGAGCCTGAGGTTGGTATATATGGGAGCTCTTTGTACTATCTCGACAATTTTCTGTAAATCTGAGACTATTATAAAATAAAAATATTATGTTTTAAAATATGAGACCCCTTTTGGATAATGTACCTAAATGATAATTTGACTTAACAGTGGTAGGGAATGCAGTTACATTAGTCTTCAGGTAGCAGAATAGGCCATCTCGTTAAATATGCACTCTTTCTCTCTTTTGAGTGACAGAATCTAAAGATCATGAGCCTCAAAAATGAAAGCAAAAAGAAAAAGAGAGAACATTTTTAAAAGTACAAACCTTATACACCTAGTATATCTATATTGGTATGAATTATACAATGACACATGGAATTACCACTTGATATATCCTATGATTAAAAAAACATGTAAAGTCTGGATCTTTTAATTATTGTGATCTTCTTTCACAAAATAAGCAAATATTTAATATAAAACTGATTATACAGTTGAAATTGCTAATCACTGCATTACAGAGATTTTTCTTTCCTCATTAAATACTCTTTAGTAATTTTTAAGAAATCCAACATAAACAAAGGTAAAGCTTAATTTCTAAAATTCATTCCAACTAGTAAGAATTCAAAAGATCTAATATACTTATTTATGTGACAAGAATGCAAATTAAATTACTGTTGTCTTATTCTAAAAACAATATTTGCAGGTTGTTTTCAATAGCAATTAAACCCTGTTTTAATTTTAGTATGGCATCTCCATTTGCTCCGAGTATTACACCCCAGTCAGGGCCTATTTGCAGGTCTGTTCTATTGCACAGGCTGTATGTTTCCTCCTATTTTCTTTCTCTGTTTCAACTAAGTCTCCCTTTTGTCTCATACATTTCTCTTGACACTAAAGCTATGTATTTTATGCTATTGGCGGCTTGTCCTGAAGATAGTTGTAAAATCTGTCTTTTTCCAATTATGAGAGGTGTTCCATAAATTCTTTGGGGAATATTCATTTTGAGATGTGCGCCTGTAACTCCCATTAATGTTGCCCATTTAAACTTGATTTATTGCTTTCCTTTTCTGTCTAAGTGACTCCAGCCTCCCCGTTAATGCAGTTTGTTTATAATCTCCAAACTCCCCCTTACCTAAATGCAGTCTCTCACAAATGCTTTGCATGTAGGTCATTTATTAAATTGTAAACCAAAGTAATATAAAATCAACTAGTTTTTTGAAAGGCTGAATTTTATTCTTTTTTGGATGCCTCCTGCCATGATATAAAATACAATATTTGAGCTTGGTCAACTGAGAAAGAGTAACCTTGCACTAAAATAAGCCTAGCTATAAAAATAACTTGCTTGGATTGATCAATGAAACAATGACCTGAAAAAATTAATATCACAGAAATTATAGACTAGATAATATTTTTTAAAATGGCATGTTTGTAATTTTACAGTTGAGGTTGTATTACTAGTCTGTAAATCCATTTATAGCTGTGAATATGTAGTTGAAATATTGTAAATACATATTCTCCTGAAAGTAGCCAGTCTGTAAAACAAGTTCCTGTTTTTTTATCATTTCATCTCATTTTCTTCAACTTTTATTTTCCAACTTCCAAAATGCCTCATACTACTAAGTTGACTCATTCAGTATCTTAGTTTCCAGAACATCACTGCCCTATTGGAGTCACTGTCCCCAGCTGTCCCCAAGTCATACCAAAGAGTTTCAGTTCTCTTTCAGTTGAGTTTTCCATAACACATATAGTTTTATAGATATTGTATATTATTATCTATGTGCACATACATCATGGACCTTGTCATCACCCAGGATATACAGTTTTTAAAACTGTATGTTGGCATTACATTTTCTTTACTGCCCTATGATTAATGTTCTAGCTAAACTTTGTCCTTTGATGAACTATTCTCCCAGGTTATTGCTTCCTTGAGATATCATTTAACAAGTTATTTGGCTTGAATCTTGTGACCACCATGTGAACCCTAAGTCATGCCTTTTACTATCAGCTTGCATTTATTTGCTACTTTAATGTTTTACCATAGTCATGCAGTCAATATAAACCTTGGGTACCCCTAAGCATTTCACTTCTTGGATTCTGCAATAGGTAGCTCATAGACAGGCTGCAAGGCTCCAGTGCATGTAGATTTACAGCTTTCCCAGGAAACTTAGTTACATTTATGAATTAAAAATAAAATCTCTGATCAACTCATCTGGGCCTTTTTCTCTTCTGAATAATCACTGTTGTGAACATAATTCTCAAGCTCCTCTTTCCACAGGCTGTACTTTCGGCATGTTGCCCAGCCTTCTCCTTCACCAAAGTGCAAACAGTAATGTTTTCTTCTTTCCTCTCTTCTCTCAAAACTAAATTTCATCTGCACTTTCTCTTCCTGCCAGGGTCAGGTGAAACTACCCCCATCTATACCCAAGGTTGCCATCTTCTCCTTCTTCTAGAATCATACAAAATTAGTTTACTTATCTCTTGTGCTTTTAGTTTTTCTAAATTATGTCTCCTCTTCCTTCGTTTTCTCTTTCTCCTCCTATTGCCATAAATTCATAAAATATTTTTCAGTGTTTTTAGTATTTTTAAACCTTTCTCTAGCATGCCTTCCTTTAGTATCGCCAGGTTTAATGAAAAAGACAATTCACCTTTATTGCTTCATTTTTAAACAGCTCTCCCCCTCCACCCCCCACCACCTCCACCCAATCCACTGCAATTTGATGATTGCAGTCACCATTTTACCAGTCTTGAAAATGTTGATGGTGGCCAGGCATGGTAGCTCACGCGTGTAATCCCAGCACTTTGGGAGCGGATCACCTGAGATCAGGTGTTCACGACCAGCCTGTCCAACATGGTGAAACCCTGTCTCTACTAAAAATACAAAAATTAGCCAGGTGTGGTGGCATGCGCCTGTAGTCCCAGCTACTAGGGAGGCAGAGGTAGGAGAATCGCTGGAACCCAGGAGGCGGAGGTTGCAATGAGCCGAGATCTCACGACTGCACTGTAGCCTGAGTGACAGAGAGAGACTCCATCTCAAAAAAGAAAAAAAAAAAAAAAAGGAAAAGGAAAAGAAAATGTTGATGGCATTTAACATGCAAGATTCAGCGATCTTGTACTAACCCTCATTGGTTTAAAGTTTGCACTTGATTTTATAATGATCTCAATCCCTTTCTATGGGACACCGTCTACTCTTGATTTCTGAGACATGAGTACATTTGATGTGCCTCCAAGCATTCTGTCTCTCTCTCTCTCTCAACCATGTTAACAAATCCTAAATTTGTATATTTGGCCTAATTTTTCTCCTGAGTTACAGAGCTATATTTCTAATATTTGCTAAAATTAATTCTAATAAGGGACCAAAACCCTAAGGTTCCAAAACAAAACTATCACTGATTAGCTACCCAGAAACGTTACCTTCTTTCTCCTGTTTTCCCTGTTTTACTTAATCTTTAGAGTAATAATGTATTCTTCTTTTTGTTACCTTTCAAATTTTCTTATCCTTCCAATTTTACATCTCAACTCTCTGCTCTCATTTATTTTCCTAGTACAGGTCCTCTCATCTCATGTTTTAAAAAATTACATGACTGTATTTTAATTATCTCTTTTTGTAACATTTAAAAAATTAGTTACAACTATTTTGGTTGAAAATGGTCAAAACCTAACTCCAAGTGGTTATTAAAAATAAAAGAATAGTAAATACCAGTAAGGACCAAATGACTGAAAACTCAGAAGACATTTTAGCTTTAGGCATGACTAGCTCCAAGTGTACAGATAATATATGCAGGTATTTGTTCCTCTTTATGCTTCCTGTTTGCTTACCTTTTTGTTGCCTACAATAAGGGTTCTTACTCTTTGTTCTCATAATGCTGCTTTTAGCTACATTCTATCAGTATGATCACGGGATAAATATAAAATGTCTATTAACTGATAGTTACAAATAACTGATTATCTATATATACTTGATTTACTATTTGCCTTATTAAAGAGATGAAAGGAAGGAATGCTTGAATTGGCCAGGTCTGAGATACAAGCCCATTCAACAATGAGAAGGGTGTTCAAACCCATGTGGTCTAAAAGACTGAGACTAAAGAGGGCCTGATACCCAAAAAGGAAAATGCTTGACAAGCTAAATAACAGATCCCTGTTATATTCTAATGCACAAATCTGATATTTGGCAGGTAGAGCCCTAAATTTTGAGCCTGGCATTAAGGCCCTTCACATACTCCCCGCTTCCTAGCTTTCAACAGCACAATCTTAGCCACACTGGGACTTGGGCTTCTCAAAGACAGCATGCCTGTGATGGGTATGGCTCACATTGTTCCCTGAAAACCCCCTTGTGTTCTCCATTGAATGGCAGTGCCTCCTCTATCCTACAAAGTGGAGCCCATATCCTATTTTGCTGTCTTTCTCCAAAGAGACGTACTCATCTCCATCCAGGTGGGAATTAGTTCCTACAGTGAACATAGTAGCAAACGCCCTACACCGACCTCCCTATATCCTTCCTTTGCTGCTTGAAGTAGGGATCATATATTGCTTGCCTTTTGATCCCCAGCCTTAGGCATAATGCTGAGAAGAATATACTTGGAAGAATTCCTGACATAGAGTATAAGCTCAGTAAATATTTGTTAACTCAAGTCTCTACAAACAGCTGAACTAGCGCAAGAAGTAGCTGAAATGAGCATTTTAACTTATGGATGCCAATTTGGGTTGGAAACAACTATGTATTTATATTAACTTAAACTTTATGGGGACGAAATGATTTGTTTATTGCATCTTGATATTTGAAGTTCATTTCAGGAACATACTGCTGAGGGGAAAAAATACAAGGACTGGCTGTTCTCTGTTCACCAAATGTTTCAGAAATTTAGTGCAAAATGTATGCTTCTATTAGCCTTCCTTCAATTAGTGATTCATAGCTATCTTGGATTTACTTCTCAGTGTAACACTCGGCACAGTTTTCAGTTATTCAGAACATAATAATGTCCCCAAACATTAAATAATTATTTCCACCATCTTTTACACAAACAGCTTTGTTCTCCCTAATTTTAACTGATGCTCAAACTCTCAAACAAATGTGGCCTTTAAATTTTAATGGAAGTCCATACAAAAAAAGACATAAAATGATATACTATTAAATATAAACATATTTAAACAAAATTGTTATTCCTTTATACACTATATTTTATATGGTGTTGGTTCTCTCTGATGCTGGAAATTCATCTTTATGATCAATTAATGCAAGATGTAAAATTGAATATAGTACTTGACTTATGAACCCAGAAAACACTAAGAGCATATCTGACCCATCCTGTGCATCTATTCACAGGTCATAGCCAAGTCAAACACAGACACAAAGTTATTTTGGCATATGATTTCAAGGAAAATGCCTGGAATTGCAATAACTATTCTATTACAAAAATTGATATGCAAGGTCATGATATGCCTGAGAACAATTTGATCATTATAGTAATGTTTACATTTACGTATTCATTCATTCAAAGACATCTAGATAAATAGGGAGGCTAAATAAGAGCTATATAAGTATGGTTATTTCATATTCACTGTAAATTTTTGCTAGAAAGTAAACTCATTAAGGGAATGAACCATTTCTCTTCCACACATCTCCTATGCCTAACCCAACACCTAACACATACAAGAGGTTGGTTGGTTGGTTGTAGTTATTGTAACAGTAGTCTTCATCTTCAATATCCACCACTACATTTAAACTGTGAATCCCATACCCTACAAATTCAATAATTGTTAGTAACAAGAAAAATGTTTCTGAAAAGCCAGGCATTTGGGCCGGGCACCGTGGCTCACACCTGTAATCCTAGCACTTTGGGAGGCCAGAGGCGGGTGGATCACAAGGTCAGGAGCTCGAGACCATCCTGGCTAACACGGTGAAACCCCGTCTCTACTAAAAATAAATAAATAAATAAAAATAAATAAAAAAAATTAAAAAAATTAGCCTGGCGTGGTGGTGGGCACCTGTAGTCCCAGCTACTCAGGAGGCTGAGGTAGGAGAATGGCACGAACCCAGGAGGCAGAGCTTGCAGTGAGCCGAGATCACGCCACTGCACTCCAGCCTGGGCGACAGAGCGTGACTCCGTCTCAAAAAAAATAAAAAAATAAAAAATAAAAATAATAATAATAAATAAAAAGCCAGGCATGGTGGCTCATGTCTGTAATCCCAGCATTCTGGGAGGCCGAGACTGGATGGATCACCTGAGGCCAGGATTTTAAGACCAGCCTGGCCAACATGAGGAAACCCCATCTCTACGAAAAATACAAAAAAAATTAGCTGGGTGTGGTGGCGGACAGCTATAATCCCAGCTACTCTGGAGGCTGAGGCAGGAGAATCTCTTGAACCCAGGAGGCAGAGGCTGTAGTGAGCCAAGATGGCGCCACTGCACTCCAGCCTGGGCAACAAGAGTGAAACTCCATCTCAAAGAAAAAAAATATATACACAAAAACAATCTGTCTCAGTAGAGAAAGAAAATAAAATCTGAAAGTTAGGATGTGAATGAGCAAAATGTGCTGGATACAGGAAAAAGATAATCTGAGTTCATCAAATGACTCAGGATTGACTAATAATGTTGGCCAGAAACCATGACTGGTATTTAAAAGTCCAGGGAAGTGTGATTCATTGCCTCACTGACTTTTTCTTATTTAATATTTTAACACATGATCTTAGCAAACCTGGGATTCAGTGTTAACAGTGTGTGGAATTTACTAATTTACAGGCTTCTGTTTTCAATAACTACTCTCATCTTACCAGTCATCTATCACGAGCATCTCTTCTTCTGAAACAATAGATCAGACATGTCATCTGTAATTTATATATATCTTCCACCAGAACTGTTACTCTTATTTCAGTTGACAAGAGTTATCTGCTTATTGCAAAACTTTGGTACAATTAAAACCACATTGAAATGGATGAAATATCCAGGGCCAAAGCCTGTTAATTTAGGATAAAACACGGGCCTCTATTTTTACCAATTTCATTATGATTATGATCCTCACCAAGGTTGGAGAATCGCTGGATTACTCTTTCTATTAAAATAAATTTAAACAAAAGAAAATAAAATAACAGGCACCTCTCTCTCCACCCAATTAATCAAGTTCAGGTAAAAATTCTTTGTCCTAAAAACTTACATATCCAGCAACCAAACTTGCCCTCTGTTCAGCAATACTCTCCCATTTTTACATATTTTCTTCCTCATTATATTACATATTTCCACAGTTTAAACAGTTTGGATAAAAATATAACAACTAATTTTTTTAAAGAAATTCAGCTTAAATTAACTAATTTGAAATATGTAACTTGTAGATAAATAAGCTACAGCTTTCAAATTTTAACCAGGCTCCACATATCATATGCACAGATGAGAAGTTTGTGCTTTAATAGGTCAGGCTTTCTTACAGTACATGAATGAGAAACCTAACTCCACTGCATACCTTATATCTAAATCTTTGCATCTCTGTTTCCTCTGCCTGGACTCATCTTCCTTCCCCACCAGATCATTTTATGACTGATTCCTCATTATTCATACCTCAACTCAAAAGATTGATTATCTTCAGAGCATTTATTAATATCTGAAATTTCCTAATCTGTTTGTTTCACTTATATTTTGTTCATCTCTTATCTCCAGAGTATTTGTTGTCAAACATCTAGAAGTGTGCCTTACCTATAACAGGTGCTCAATAAATATTTATTAAATAAATAAGCAAATACAAGGCTAAATGAGTAAAAAAATGTATGAATGCTTTGTCTATTAGGAGTTATCTTTCATAATTAATGTGGACTTCCATAATATTGTTCAAGTATTTTAATGTGCAGGTATTCAAGTAAATTGGTATTTTATCTCAAATATAGAAAATTATATATGTCTTCCATTAAAGTAACTTTACAAAATAAAAATATACTACAAAATATCAAAGATATAGGTAATATTTGATGAGTTAATTGAATCAATTGGTCAGGAATGGAAAATATTCTGAAGAACTGTCTCTACTCCCAATCAGTTGACTCATTTTAGCACTAAACTGAAAATTAGAAGACCTGAATTCTAATTGTATCAATAATCTAAACTAAGTTTGTGGTTTGGGTTTGTATAAAACTAAGTGCTCAGATGATGTAATGCTGAAGTTCCATTTCCATTTCAACTTTAAGATTCTGTGAATGAAATGGAAATGAGAAGGTAAAGATAACTTCAGCATTCTCCAGTAAATACAAAAATAAACATATTGATATGGTTAGGCTGTGTCCTTACCCAAATCTCACCTTGAATTGTAATAATTCCCATGTGTCAAGGGCAGGACCAAATGAAGGTGATTGGATCATGGGGGCAGTTTCCCGAGTGCTGTTCTCCTGATAATAAGTGAGTTCGCATGAGATCTGATGGTTTTATAAGGAGTTTTCTCCTTCACTCGGCGCTCACTCTCTATCCTGCAGCCCTGTGATGAGGTGCCTTCCACCATGATTACAAGTTTCATGAGGCCTCCCCAGACATCTGGATCTGTGAGTCAATTAAACCTCTTTCCTTTATAAATTACCCAGTTTGGGGTATTTCTTCATAGCAGCATGATAACAAACTAATACACATATGTTGCCCAAAGAATTAATAAATCCTCAGAGTTTTTACAAAACTGATAAAGCTTGCTTATAATCTACATTCTGTAAGAATTATAGTAAAGCCTCTTGTTTGTTTTACACTTTGGTTACAATTTAGAATTTATTTAATAATTTACAAAGTACTTTCACCTACATTATCTTAATTGATGCTGGCAACTATACACATATGCACACAGCCCTGTGTATGATCAGAGATGGTATCATTCCTACCATCCCCCTCCTTGTATCTCCCAAAATAAGGTAATCAATGTTTCTAGAAGTAAGTGGTTCCCTGACATGTGCACAGCTGGAAGTCATTGGCATTTTTGACTGAGTCAGTATTCTAAGTGATAATATTGCTATTACCTCCTGCATGCTGGATCTGTTTGCAGCCGTATTGCATGCCTTATTAGCTCTCACTTGTGTTTAAACATGGTCGCCAAAAATCAGAGCCTTATGTTTGATGCCTTTCTCATGAGATGTAGGCCCACACATCCAACAGCCTGCTAGATATTGCCAATTGCATATCCTACACCTATATATGGTTCAGCATCTCTGAACATGTCTCTCTTAAAGCAGTTCTTCAATCCTGTCCCCTGATACAGAAAATTGCACTATTCATTATTCAGCGGTCTGAACTAAAACCTCAGAAGTCTTCCTTGACAGAAGAATACTGGGCTGGTGATAAGATTCGGGAATAGGCAACACTGGTAGTAAAAAATACCAAAGTGACTACTTGAGGGAGTGGAAAATACAACAAAAGGAATAGCCTAGGTGACTTTACATTCACTGGGCTTAAATCTAGCCTAGAAATAATGCCCTCTGGCCACTGCCCCAGTGCATTCTTATAGTGCACGCTGATAAATCATAGTAAAAATATATCCTCCCTTTTGAAACTTGCCTACAGTTCTTATCATTGAAGTTTTATGTCCTTGGATATAGAAGGTATTTTCATTTTCACCAACTCTGTAAAAAAAAAAACTACTTCTGGATTATATAAATACTATGAAAATGTATCAGTTTAGAGTCAAACACCAATGGTATTATATGAAATATTTGATGGAACTATCCTATAAGGAAGCTTCCAATTTAGACAAGGTGAACGTTAGTTTATTATTTAAGTAGATATTAGTAAATATACTTATTTATGTATCAAATTGAAAGATGTGTATAATTTCCTTATGAATAATATATTTATAATGCACATCATCTTTTGCCTTTAATCTGCAAAGATATCCTAATAAATTCATATATTGTACATCCTTTGCTCAAAGAAGAACACTTTGGAAAATGGCCATTGCTGTGATTATTGTGGATTTATGTAGCTTCCAGCCACATACTGCATGTTTGTTTCTGGCTAAAATCTATTTTTTCTAATGAGCACACTATTAAAATACTTAAAATATTATTCACAGATTGTCTCAATGGGGAAAAAAAGACATGCAGACTCTGGAGATAAACACCTCCAGTTAAATCTGGGCTCTGGGGTTATACCTGTGTGCTGTTGGGCAGGTCCTTTTACTTGCTTTATTTGCATGATGGGGGTGATAGCATACAGGCACCTGTTGTATAAGATTATTATAAGCATTAAATAAGTTACTATATGTGAAGCATTTGAAACAGCATCTGGCACACAATGCTATTCGTGTCTCCTCTTAGTTTTGATGTTGCTGTTACATATCCCTGAATACTATTGTCCAGTTCCTTCCATTTGATTCCACTCTGCCCTGAAAGGTAACTACTGTACTAAATTCCATTTAAAATTTTGTGTTCATTTGTAGAGTTTTAGTACGTATGTATCTCTAGTTTTAGCAAGTATATGTGTATTTATTACATTTTAAGATCTTTATGGAGCTTTACTGTATATAAAATTGGTGCTTTGCTGTACTGTAATAATGCTTTTTTCTACCCAATACTGGTTCTAATGTTATCTATAGTGTTGCATAGAGTTGTTATTTATTCTTTTTTATATCCCTATGCTACCTTATGTGTAACTATACTAGAAATTAATTTTCCCTCCTCTTATAAATATGTATTTGGTATTATTGATTTTTGAATAATTTTTAATAATGCCAGATTTTTCCTTTGGTACTATTTAGTATAGTTTATCTTTTTTTCACCTGTCTACTGTCATCCTTTACGTAATTTTACATATATAATCGAATGGAATAAGCTGAGGGTCCATTTTGGCTTGACATATTTGGAAAACACACCCCAAAAAATGTGTGACTTACAGTAATTCAAGTATTTCAATTCTAGTAGATTCAGTACAATGACAATTATATGTTTAATAGGCAAAGTCTTCCCTTTAATAAAATAAAGCATGTAGAACTGTTAATAACACCTATGATGTGGTTATTTATATTTAACACTTGTAAATGAAGCTATTATCAGGGTAGAACTGGCCACTGAAGAATTTTTATTGCACACTTGACATTGTGCCAGAAATTTTTATGGGCAGATATTGTTAAGTGATATATTTCTTTTAATATATTTGAACACATTTAAACTAACATTAAGAAAAACAAACCAACATAAATTTTATTTATTTTTTTAACCATATGATCCTATGTTTTCTTAAAAATTTTAAGTTCAAGGGTACATGTGCAGTTTTGTTATACAGGTAACTCATGTCATGAAGGTTTGTGGTACAGATTATTTTGTCACCGGGTATTAAGCCTAGTACACATTAGTTATCAGAAAACCGAATTCCACATGTTCTCACTTACAAGTGGGAGCTAAATGATTAGAATGCATGGACACATAGAAGGAACAACAGACACTGGGATTAGAAAAAAATAACATAAATTTTAGTCTAAATGAGTGTGCAGAACTCATAGAAAATTAAGAAGTGACACTAAAGTACACATGTAATAAACTATGAAATAGTAGACAGAAACAATCTCTCGTGGCATGCCAAGGGGTTGAACTAATCACACATCACAGAGCTTCAGTAACCAAAATATTTTACTTAGTTTTGGAGAAATTTCCTTTCATCTGAAAGGAAGATGATTATCTTTAGACAGTCAATTATTTTTAAGTTATCGACTGGGTACTTTCTTTACGTGTGTAATTTAATCCTTACATCTCCCAGATGCGATGTTACTCCATTTTACAGCTGTGAAAAATCAAATGAATCTAGAGGCCCTAGATGAACCTTTCAAAGGGGTAGATTTTAGGAAACAAGGATGGGGTGCAAATGCAGGATGATTTCACTGCAGTCTCATTTTCACCTTTGAAAGGAAGAAACTGGATATACTACACTGAAGAACAGTGCTGTCTCTATTACTAGAAGCTTTCTCAAAAATTTAGATGGCAATCATACAACAATTGGATAATCAGTATACAAGACATGTAAGACACATTCAAAGGGAATAACTATATATGAAAATCAACCATTAAGTAAAGATTTAAAGTACTTATTTTCCTTTTAATATTAGCAATTGAATGAGATGGTCATTTAAAATAATTATTTCCAATTATTAAAGAATTCATAATTTACTGATGCATATCAAAATAATTAGCTGTCAATTAGCTGTCAGAAAAGAGAAAAGCTTGTGAAATTCTGTAAAAGGGCGAGACTTCTCTCACCTATGACTTCCTTGGATTATGTTGATTCAATAAATGCCACGGAGTTTTATTCAACCAAGAATTTATGCCTCTCATTACTACCAAGTGACAGACTCAGTGTTTGGCTTAATCTTGATATTCTATTGAGTTTAACCACGTGAAATAAAATAAACCTGGCATTTCAGAATAATCCAGCAATTAAGGAAAACTATCATTAGCTTATAAATAACTAAAACAAGTACAAACAAAAGGAAAGCAAGTAAGTACAAAATGAAGCTTGCTTGTTGTTTTATCATTTCCTCCAGGTTCAAGGTAATCTTGTCAACTATTCATTGTTTTCCTAAAGTAATAATCAAGCCTCGTATAGAATGAAACCATAAAATTCATGCAGAAGATTCAAGAAAAGACATGAGTGAGAGAATACTGTAAATAAATAATTGTCAATTAGGAATTAATATAGAATACTATATATTTCCCACAAAACATACTCTTCCTTATGAGATGACAGGTGATACACTCTTATGTCAATAACTATGCATTACAGTTACTTCTAGCTAACACCATGTTTCACTTATGATACACTATATTATATTTGGCATTTTGTGATGCCAGTTCCTTTGGGATTACAAAAAATAATACCCTCATTAACAGAATTATAAATATTTGAATGCTGTGCCAACATTTAACTCATATCTGCCAATCAAAAAGGGAAAATGTTCTTTATTGATTGGAAAATGGATCTTGTTTGAAGATAATTGACTCTGAGTCTTTCATTGACATAATACCACCTCCAGAAGAAACATACACTCAACTTAGAAAACAAAGCTTAGATGTAAGAGGCTGATCACTTTCTCCTTACTCAAGCACAGTTCCTATTGACTAGATGAATATTCTGTCTGCCCATGAATTAAAGGATTATAGATCATCTAGTCCATTTTGGAAGTTTAAAAATGTCTTTAAATAAGAAGCTTACCCAGAAACAGGGCACAAGAAATACAGAAAACCATAAATCTCTCATAGAAAAAGATGTGGATGGGGTAATCAACAAAACAGCAACTATTGAAAAAAAATAAAAATAAATGCATGCATAAATAAGTATTTTACCACACTAAAATAGTTACTGCTAAGATGTTGGTAAAAATGAGATGTTGAGTTTGGGAAATGTTAAGTTTCAGATAAGCAACCAATACAACATCCAAGTAAAAATGTCCAGTGGCAGTAGATTAAAAGAATCTGCTATTTAGTATTGAGGTAGAGAGTGGTAGCATACAGCCATACCTACATATATGTACACACACGTAGCTGAAGAAGAGAAGCCTGGTGCTGAAGCACCAGGGGATTACAGCCCTAAATATCAGGGAAATAAGACGTGGCAGTAATGAAAACTGAGAAACAATAAGAAGTGAGGTAAAAGATAGGCAAGTGTGGTTACTCAGAAGGCAAGGAAAGAAATGGTCCAAGGGGGAGGGAGAAATCTACTCTTTAAATATTCTTGGAGGTCAAATAATTTGATCTCAGAACGGACCTTGTGGTTTACGACAGGACTTCAATAAAACCAGATTGGGGGAGTTATAGGTATGAAAATAGGATTTTATAGGGTTCAAAAGAGAAAAAGAGATGAACCATTATAGATATTAGGTATGGACATCACTTTTAAGGAGCTTTCCTGTAAAATGGAAAAAGAATTGAATTGTTGGTCCAAAGAGAATTGGCTTCACCAAGAGTGATTTCATGCTAATGGGAATAATCCAGAAGAGGAGTGATGCTAGTGAGGCCAGAGAGAGAGAAGCATATGCAAACATGAGGTCTGTAGTGGGCGACAGCCAAGGGAATCTAGTTCACAGGTGGAGGGTCTGGTCTCTCTTAGGAACACAGACAATTCACTATAGCAATGAGATGGAAGGAAGAATATGTCAGCCATGTTTCAGAATATAGGAAATCCAGAGTGTGTGGACTGGACACAGAGTAACATCCATCCAGGCTACTGTGAAAATGACAATGATCATAAAGTTATTGTTAGGTGGTAAGTTTTCACAGGTAGTAAATATCAGCTATTTCTGGGGGGTGGGGTATTGAGGCATATGCTATTTATTGGGTTCTCCCATGCCCAGCACTTGTGACTATCAGAACAGAATTGACAGAGTTATGTTCATGATCACAAAGCTGTGATTCTTAACACCAAACATTCCTTATCCAGAACTGAGAAACAGTAAACTGTCCCAAGCCACACATGCAGCTACAGAGAATCTTGACCTTTCAGAAATGACTGAGGCTCACCTTTCTCAGATGAGCAATCAGCTCACTTTAATAGTCTAGGCATCAATCAATACACTTTAAAAGGGAAGGATATTATCCCCTCCCTTAAAGTCTTAAGAGAGAAATCAGCATCACTAAAACTAAAGTGTCACAAATGTATAAAATAAAGTATTCAGTGAAAATATTGCATCTAAAAAAACCTTCATTAAAGATAAAAGCACCAACCAACATGCTCTCATGTTGTGGGCCAAGGGGTCTGCTGCCTTGGCCTGTAGTCCTCTGGGGAGCCATGTGGCAGAGAGGTCTGGGCACTGTTGTGCTCACCCACCTGGTGACACAGTTGCAAATGTAACAGAAGGCACACTTTGGGCTCTCACTTGCTCCAAAGTAAGAGAGATATGCCAGCAATGAAAACTGAGAAATAATGAAATACTCCCACATCCAAGATGGCCATTGACCCTAGAGGGCACCCCTTCACCATCAGCTCTGGTCAGTGACACTCATGGGAGTGGCTGCAATGAGACTTCCCTCTCTCTTCTGGGCTCCTTGATCACCCACAGGTGATGGTTAATTTTATGTATCAACTTGGACATTGTTTTTGGATGAGATTAGCATTTAAATCAGTGATCTTTCAGTAAAGACTACCCTCTATAATTTGATAATTTTATGGGCTTCATTCAGTCAGTTGAAGGTCTGAATAGAAGGAAAAGTTGTGCCTACGGGAGCAAGAAGAAAGCATCCATCAGGCTGGCTTTGGACCTCAGCTGTACTGTGCACTCCGAGGCGTGGAGCCTGCCTGTCCACACTGCAGATTTGGACTTTCCAGTCTTCTTAATTGCATGAGCCAATGTTTCATAATAAATCTCTTTCTCTATATACATTCTATTAGTTCTACTTCTCTGGAGGATCCTGACTGAAGCACCTATGAGAAGCTGAAGGGCCTTCCATCAGTCCCTCATGAGAGGCAGAGAAGGAAAATGTCTGTAGCCTAAGGGTAATGTTCTCAGACGATAGCACAACCTCACTCCCTGCCCCTTCTCCCCTGAACTCAAAGCTGAAGGGCTCCCTTAGAATTCTGTTTCCCTTCCTCATTCCCACCTCCCACCTCTGAAGGTTGGGCTAATCCCAAGAGACAAGTGGGGAAGTGTGGTGGCCAACATGAAGGCCTGGTCCAGGGTCTGCTGACCTCAGGTGCATCCCATCCCCAGCTGGGCACATGGAGGGCACACCGACAGCTTGTCCCTTATTCCCCACAGGCCTTGCCTGTGTAGGGGAAAGTCAGGCCATCGCTCCACCAGCCCATAGGCTGCTAGCTATAGCTGCACTTGGGCTCTTTCCTGCACAGCTCTAGCAGTACTTTGGTGTGCTTGTTTTCCATCTTGCTCTTGGGCATTCGGAAGCAAAGGAGCCAGCCCATGAGGTCCTTGTGCAGGCAAGCATTAGCCATGGGTCATCTGCATCTCCATCTCCAGTTGTGCTCTTAACCAGTAGGCTGACCTGCAAGAGCAGCATCTCTGTTGGGGTGGCCATGGGCAAGTGCTGCTGAGCTGTAGGGCAACTAGTAGAGCATTTCCAGCTCAAAAACCAGCTGGATACTGTCCTCCATTATTGTCCAGAGGCAGAAGGAAGGGCACCTCTGTGGCCTCAAAGTTGAGGAAGGAACCCCACCACTGGCCCCAAGCCATCAGCAGTCAGGCAAGCAGCTTGTTGTTCCTGTTCCACATCCTTAGTCCCAGCATCCAGGAGTACCAGATCTTTGAATTTAGGGACAGGATCTGGCCCTCCTGGTCATACACTCACAGGATTCAGTTGATCATGTGCTGTGAAGCAACATGAGATGTTCAGGAGCTCTGTGTACCTGTAGTACCAACTCCCTGTGCCATCTCATGGGTGTCACTGCTTTCTAGGATGTAGCCACAACTGTACTGATATGGTTTAGCTCCGTGTCCCCACAAAAATCTCACCTTGAATTGTAATAATCCCCACATGTCAAGGGGATTATCCTAGTGGAGATAATTGAATCATGGGAGCAGTTTTCTGCTATGCTGTTCTCATGATAGTGAGTGAGTTCTCACGAGATCTGATGGTTTTATAAAGGGCTCCCTCCTTCACTCCACACTCATTCTCTCTCCTGCAGCCCTGTGAAGAGGTGCCTTCTGTCATGACTGTAAGTTTCATGAGGCCTCCCCAGCCATGTGGATCTGTGAGTCAATTAAACCTCTTTCCTTTATAAATTACCCAGTCTTGGGCAGTTCTTTATATCAGCATGAAAATGGACTAATACATTAAATTGGTACCAGGAGAGTGGGGCACTGCTATAAAGATACCCAAAAATATGGAAGCAACTTTGGAACTGAGTAACAGGTAGAATTTGGAACAGTTTGGGTGTCTCAAAAGGAGACAGGAAGATGTGGGAATGTTTTGAACTTCCTAGAGGCTTGTTGAATAGTTTTGACCAAAATGCCAATAATAATATGGACAATGAAGCCCAGGCTGAGGTGGTCTCAGATGGAGATTAGGAATTTCTTGGAAACTGGAGAAAAGATAACTCTTGCTTTGCTTTAGCAAACAGGCTAGTGGCTTTTTGCCCCTACCCTAAAGATCTGTGGAACTTTGAACTTGAGAGAGATAATTTAGTGTATCTGATGAAAGAAATTTCTAAGCAGCAAAGCTTTCAAGAGGAAGAAGAGCATAAACGTTTGGAAAATTTGCTGTCTGACCGTGAGGTAGAAAAGAAAAACCTATTTTCTGGGGAGAAATTCAAGCTGTCTGCAGAAATTTGCATAAGTAATGAGGAGCTGAATGTTAATCACCAAAACAATGAGGAATATGTCTCTAGGGCATGTCAGAGACCTTCGCAGCAGCTCCTTCCATCACAGGCTGTATTAGTCCATTTCACACTGCTGATAAAGACATACCCAACACTGGGAAGAAAAAGAGTTTTAATTGGACTTACAGTTCCACATGCCCGGGGAGGCCTCAGAATCATGGCAAGAGGCAAAAGGCACTGCTTCCATAGCAGCAGCAAGAGAAAATGAGGAAGAAGCAAAAGCGGAGACCCCTGATAAATCCATCAGATTGTCTGAAACTTACTCACTATCACGAGACTAGCATGGAAACGAATGGCCCCCATGATTCAATTACCTCCCCATGGGTCCCTCCCACAACACGTGGGCATTCTGGAAGATACAATTCAAGTTGAGATTTGGTGGGGACACAGCTAACCATATCACAGGCCCGGAGGCCTAGGAGGGAAAAATGGTTTCATGGGCTGGGCCCAGGACCTTCTGCTGTGTGCAGCCTCCAGACTTGGTGCACTGCATCCTAGCTGCTCCAGCTATGGCTCAAAGAGGCCAACGTACAGCTCAGGCCATTGCTTCAGAGGGTGCAAGCCCCAAGCCTTGGCAGCTTCCATGTGGTGTTGAGCCTAAGGGTGCATAGAAGTCAAGAATTGGGGTTTGAAAACCTTCACCTAGATTTCAGTGGATGTATGGGAACACCTGGAAGTCCAGGCAGAAATTTTCTGCAAGGGAAGAGCCCTCATGGAGAACCTCCGCTAGAGTAGTGCAGAAGGGAAATGTGGGGTTGGAGCCCCACACAGAGTCCCCAACTGAGGCATTGCCTAGTGGAGCTATGAGAAGTGAGCCACCATCCTCCAGACCCCAGAATGGTAGATCCACTGAAAGCTTGCACCATGTGCCTGTAAAAGCTGCAGACACTCAATGCCAGCCCATAAAAGCAGCCAGGAGGTGGTGAGGGGGGCTATTCCCTGCAAAGCCACAGGGTTGGAGCTGCCCAAGGCTGTGGGAGCACACCTCTTGCATCAGCAATGACCTGGATATAAGACATGGAGTGAAAGGAGATTATTTTGTAACTTTAATGTTTAATGACCACTCTATTGGACTTCAGAATTGGATGGGGCCTGTATCCTCTTCATTTTGATCGATTTCTCCCATTTGGAACAGGTGCATTTACCCAATGCCTGTACCCTGTTGTATCTAGGAAGTAACTAACTTGCTTTTGATTTTACAGGCTCATAGGTGGAAGGGACTTGCCTTGTCTCAGATAAGCTATTGGCCTTGGACTTCTGGGAAGTTAAGACTTTAGGGGACTGTTGCAAGGGCATGATTGTGTTTTGAAATGTGAGGACATGAGATTTTGGAAGGGCCAAAGGTAAAATGATATGGTTTGGCTCTGTGTCCCCACACAAATCTCACTTTGAATTGTAACAATTCCCATGTGTCATGGGTGGGAGCATGTGGAGATAACTGGATCAGGGAGCAGTTTCCCCCATTCTGTGCTTGTGATAGTGAGTGAGTTTTCGTGAGATCTGATGGTTTTATAAGTGGCTTCCTCTTTATTCAGCACTCATTTTCTCTCCTGAAGAGGTGCCTTCCACCATGATTCTAAGTTTCCTGAGGCCTCCCCAGCCACGTGGAACTGTGAGTCAATTAAATCTCTTTCCTTTATAAATTTCCCAGTCTCAGGCAGTTCTTTATAGTGGTGTGAGGACAGACTAATACACATACCAAAGCAGGGAACAAGGGAACCTGGAAGGGCATTGCTACATGACCACAATGGATAGCCAGGCCTTCCAAATCCTGAAGGAACCACCCAGATTGTGTGCATGCATGTGTTGAGGTAAGGGGCATATTGGGAGTGGGTGACCCCCTATTTTGAGAATGCATCCATCTACCCTTTACTTTCTCCAAGGCATCAAATCGGCTTTTTTATAATGGTCTTTAGAGTCTCATCTCAGTAAGGAATGCAATGGAACCCAATGTAATCCAGGCCCTCTCAACTACTTGTTTATACTTATGTACATAATGTATTTTAATGTGTCACTCATGTCACTGCTTAAGCTGGGAAAGCACTTTTTCTTTGGCATCCTAGGGAATCTCTACTAATATATATGTTCTCTCTTTGTATTCTTTCAGCACTCATCACACACTTACAACACTCACTATATAATCTGAAGTTTCTGGCCTAAGTGTTTGCCTTTCCTAGTAGGATCTAAGAATAGCTATTATGTCTTAAGTATCTTTATATCTCCAATTCTTAGCTCAGTGCTCAGAATATAAATGTTCACAAATTCCTGCAAAATTGTTCATGTGTAAAAATATATATGTATGCAGTCACACATATACAGAGAAGAGAAATGCTCATTCTAAGCAACTGAAATCAATTCCTTTCAAGAAGAGAACTGCCTTTGTTTAGAAAAATGCTTTGATAAGCTGTTTTTTAATGCATGGTTTGATATTAAGGGTAGGAAGAAAAAAACGTATAGCTAATTACTTCAACTCTAAAAAAACATGAAGGAAATTCCTTAAGTCTTCGGTAAAGTGTGTCATCTACTCAATGCTGTCTGTTTGTATTTTTGATTGTTGTTTATTCCATTCTGTGTTAGAGTAAGTCAAATAAAGTAGCAAAATTAAATGTAGTTAAAAGAGGTAAAGCCCATGCTAGTGTATAAGCTGATTTACAAACTGATTAACACATTAGTGAAAGATATTTGAAAACAAGTGAGCTTCCCCAGTTCCACCTGTGTTAGACATTGATTGCTGCTTACTAATTTCATTTTCTCTTCTGCCTGGGCAAATTGCTAAACTACAACTGCAAACACTCCCTATATAGTTGTTCATGTGACTAAGTTCTATACAAAATAATGGAGTTTCCAAACCTGTTTTGTTCAATGGAAACTTCTCATGGTGACTATATATTCTCCTTGCTTTTACTGATGACTTGATACAGACAAGCAAAGAAAACTTGAAAAGTATGCAAAAAGCTACAAGATGGAAGGAGACTAGGTTCTTATATCATGTCTTGGAAGATAGGCTCTTACCAAATGGAACATCCATTTTGGACTTCAGATGAGCATGAAGTAAATTTTTATTCCATTGAGTCTTCACATATTTATAATATTTAGGAAGTTTAGCAGATTTCTGCATTAATGCATATAAATAAAATATTCAATTAACATGCAAAAATAAAACCGATCTAGTAAAAATGTATTAGATTCTGCAGATGTAGGATAATGCAGTTTTTATATTACTTCCATACTTCAGTTATGTCAATAATTCTCAGTTGGTTTTCTCTTATACTTTGTAGAATCTCAAAAAATCTGATACATGTTGATTCAAGTGAAAAGAATAAAGCTTCCTATTTACTGTGGTAAATACTGAATAAAATCTCTCTCATTTTTATAATTGTATTCAGCTCAATTATGAAACATTAGATTCTTAATCTTCTATTTTAATATCTTATTTTACTCTTCATTGTAGTCTTCACATATTTTTGCTATGCTAATATATCAAATATACATTTATTAAACTTTACTTAAAAATATCTAATTATCCTTCAATATTAAAGAAGATAAATATTTTGATCACTTTCTATATATGTTGGTTATGGTGGAAAATAATTGTATAAACAATATCATATTAATATTACAATTCTACATGATATACTCTTTGATAGATGAGGATGTATACGAGGCATTAATAACTAATTTGCCCAACATGACACTGAATTCAAACATACTACTATGACTTCATCCCCAAACTGTTACTTTAATCTGTGGTATTCATCAGTATTATTATCTTCAACTACTGTATTACGCATATCATCACTGGAATTTTTATTGTCCTCCTAACTTATGCTATATGCTCATGATGTGAAAACCTATATTTTTATCCTAGATATTTCTTGTATATTTCAGACACATATTTATTTCTTCTAGATATTAGTATATGGAGGAAATTATGGCACTTCTGACTTATCCCAAAACTGAACCAATTTTATACACACTTAAACTTTCCCCTCTTTCTACACTTAAACTTCAGTCAATTGAAAAACCATTTATTTTGACAATTAAGTCATAGACTTGATGAACACTCTGAATTCATTCTTCTGTTTTGCTCCCCATATTCAGTAAGTAAGCAAATTTAGTCAATTCTGGCTCTTAGATCCTTCTTAGCATCACCCTGTTATCTTGGTCTTTGTATGGATCAGGGTGACAGTGAACAACAAATGGTTCTCCCAGTCTCTAAGTTTGAGAAGTTTAACAAAGGGAAAGGTTTAGGGAAACCAGCAGGAACAATGCAGTACCCCTGGGCTATTGATGTTAGAGTAGCCTTTAGCCTGTCTCAGCTTGAAAGATAGAGAGCAGTAACCAGAAACCAGAGTATTATTCATATAGAGATGGTGCTATTTATCAAGAGATACAGTCTTTGGAAAGAATAAGGCCAAATAAATAATTACACTCAGCTGACTGCATGCCTATCACCCAGTCTCCTGCTCCTATGTCCTGTTGGCTGAACCCAGAATCTAATTGGAAACTAGAGAACAACAGAGTGCAGTTGGTTTAGCTCAGCCTTCAAGGGCAAAGATTAGGACACAGAAGAGTGCAGAGTGGATCTGGAGGGGCAAATGGAAGATGAGCCTTTGTTTGGATTCTCATCATCCCTTTTCCTAGCTTCTACCCTATCCTCTAATTTGCTTTCCAATTTAAACCAATGTATTCTTTCAAAATAGGGAATTTGATTTTTCCTCTTCATGGCATTGAATTCTGAATGGAATTCGGGCATATTCAAAGATAATTAAAAACATTTGGTAATGTATAAAATACTTTAATATTTGGCCCTTACTTATTGGTTATATGCCTCACTCATGGTCTAAAGACTTGCTAATTTAAATAGCCATGTTTTTATAAATGATCTTTCAATACGCTGGTGAGCTCTCTTTCTTCCTTCAATAACTTGCTCAAAATTTATTTATCAGTGGAACCTCCATTAGTTTTCTTCAAAAAATAATGCTCATCATTTACACTTCTGTAAATCTTTATACAGGTTAACACTTGTCTTAGGTAGTGTAAACATGTGTATACATATCTGGGGAAGCTATACTTTTTGTGCTGTGGATTTGGAAACACTGTTTATCTTTGTGCAGATATCTTATATTTACTACATAATATCACTTTAGAAATATGATGGTTGGATAATACTAGGAAAAGAAAGATTTTGTGGCAATGACGGATGATTCTCTATCTTTCTAAATATCTTAATTTTACTTAACAAATTTATGTCTCCCTTTTATTATTTTCTTTTTATCATCGAATTATGTTATTTGAGATGTAGATGCAGATATAAATATGATCTGGTGGAGCCTCCTCATTCCGTACTGTAAAGATAAGGTGCTGTGAATGTCAATGTGATGCATCATTTGGTATTTAAATTGACAGTTAACTCAGTATTTTTGACTGTCTGGTGTGTTCTCCACTACATCTTATTATCTAACTAGATCTCTTTCCTTTTTAGCCCTTCTCCCCTGCTTATGTGTGAGATTTTTCAGTGAAACTCAGTAACATTCATAGCCTTTTCTGGACTAATTCAGGGCATAAAATTAACTCCTCAACCCTAACATAGTTCCTAAAGATTGTATTTAAAGGATTAGGTGACCAAAATATTGGCCAGATTAAGACAGAGGAATAACTTGGAAGAAGTGAAATTTGAAAAATCTACAGATAATGAAGATGGAGTGTAGCAGAGCACAAATGTTTCCTTATTCACTTTATCTGGAAATTCTGCCGTATCATTCATATTCCTGAATATGAGGTGTAGGTGAGGTAAAGAAGAAGTGAGTGATAAGCATCTTAATGTGATGACATCCATAAAATCTACATGTCACATTTCATCCAAGAGCAGATTTTCCATTTGAATTATGAACCTCTGCAAATAGGAGACAGAAATGGAAAACCTGGAACATTTATCACTCTGGGCCCTGGCAGATTGAAATGTGATGACTTCAAAAAAAAGTAAGTTTTGGTTAAGTTCTGAACAGAATTATCAGAAAAAGAGAAGATAATTTTTATAAATGTAGTGAATACAAATATAGATATTGACTTTAATGTGTCCTTATTTAATCTTATGATATGTACAGAAATATACGTAAATATTATTTTTAGATGATTGTAATCTTGTGCAACTGTACAGTGGGCATACTCTGCAGGCTTTCGGAGCTACATTGAAAGTCAAAATGTTCAAGTGCCCTGACAAAGTTGTGATGATTTATGAGACACGACTCTCTTTCAGTACAGTGTAAGTAAGCCAGTGCTTTAACCTATATATTTGAAAATATTCAGTACAGATTTTCGACTGCCAAAACATCTTTACGTGCTGTTTCCAAAGTGTTATGTATGTATTTATGCACATCGTGACTTGTTCCAGAAAGGATTAAATGTGACCAAAATACATACACGGCAAAATAAAATCTAACTTGGCAAGGAAGAGAGTGAATGCAGTGCTGAGTGATATAGAGAAGCGATTGCTTTGATTGGGGGTAAAAGAAGATGTTGGCTAAATATCTTCTTTTATTTCACTGGGAATCATGTGTATCACGTTTATGAAAATAAATAGATTCCCAAATGCTAGATTGTAGCTAAAAAAATGTTTAAGTTAACAACTTTTATTAGATTTATTTTATATTTTTCATTTCAATTACAAAATGAATATATTTCCTGCTTAAAAGAAAGTCTAAAGCAGACATATATGAAGTGACAGTCTGGCTCCTGTCTTCTTCTTCACATATTTTGCTATGCACATATATCTCATTTTTTAAAGTACAAAATTTACTTATAAAGTACATGGAATCATTTTATGAAGTATAAAATATAGAGCAAGAGTCAATATAGACGCTCTTAGTAGACATGGAAGATCAGATTTCATTTATGTATTTGACGCACATTTATTACATATCTATGATAAACCAAGCTCTCATTTGGACTTGTTGCAAAACAATGAGGGCGAGATATCAACACATCCTGCCTTCTGAGAAGTGATGGCTAAATGGGAAAAGCAGACATACATTATTCAGATGCACACAAAACTATACAATTGCACGCTCTGGGTAAATGCCTTGCAGGAGAATTGTGGACAGGAATAAAGCTAGGGAACCTCACCTACCTGAAGGATCAGGAAATGTTTCCCTCTTTGTTGTTATCTTGAGCTGAGCTATCATGAATGAGCAGATAAACTGGATAAAGAAGTTGCAGGATTGCAATGGTCGTAAGGTGCTCATGTGGAAAGAGATGAGTTAATTTGTGGAAACACAATTGGAAAAAGACTAGTTAATTTAAGGAAATATAAAACATGTCAACGTGTTTCAAGTGTGAAGGACAGCATTATGAAAAGGAGTTGACATAGATATAGCAAAGGACCAAATCATGCAGCATGAGATAGTGTGGTGGGGGCTTTTGGTGTTTCCATCTCCTTTTCCAACTAATCCATTACAGTATTTTCCCCTTATCCATGGGGAATATGTTCCAATATCCCCAGTGGATGCCTAAAATCTTGGATAGCACTGAACCCTATACATATGTACTATGCATTAATTTCTTTTTTATTCTTCACAATTTCACAGATAGACCATTCACACTGTCGTACTGTGACAGTTAATCTGATCACAGAGACGGTTACCAAGCAACTCATGGGTAGGGAGGTTTGACAGCATGGATACACTGGACAAAGGGAAGATTCATGTCATCCAGGGTGGGGAAGAGTGTGTCGGTGTAAGATTTCATCAAGCTACTCAGAACAACTTAAAATGCAAAAATTATTTACTCTGGAATTTTCCATTTAACATTTTTGGATCATGATTGACCATGGGTAACAAACTACAGAAATCATAACTGCAGATAAGGGTGTAGTACTGTATAGAACTTCATTTAGATAAGATGTAAAAATGAGACTCTAATCACGTGTAATGACAACAATTCCAGGGCTTCTTATTGCTTTTCTTTTGTTTGATTAAGTCCTCACATTAAAGTCTTGGATGTGTCTCAAGTAAGGTAATCACAGTTGTTATTTTTTCAACCATTATTACTCACTGAAATAATATATTTTTTATTCTTTCCTTCTGTTAGGCTCAGATGAAATGCTGCTATGTGGTACTAAATTGTTACTCTCTCTACCTAAAGGAAATAATTAATAGAATATAAAAAGTTACCAATAACATTTCTCACTTTAATATTTGGAAATATTGTGAAAAGCAAGTTTTACAGTTCTGGGAAATTTTAGGTCCTAGCAGGGAGTTTATAAATGGAGGCTGCTCTTCAAGATCCCTGTCAAATGAAACTTGTATCTTTGTAAGATTTAAAGGGAAAGTGAGGCCAACAAAACAAAAGCCAAGGAAAGCAAAATAAATCAAAATAAGCTAACCAGAGAGGAAACAAAACACAATTAGAGGTAATTATTTTGTTTATTTCTGTATTCTAAAAATTTGTAAATGAAAATAATTTTTCCTTTTCAGTACAAGCTACACTGCCAATTAATCAAAGAGTCTCATGCATGAGGAGAATTTCTTCTTTACAGAAGGATACCAGATAATGAATGTATGGTGAATGGCAGGGTTGGGAATAAATGTGTAAGCTTTGAGGGGGTAGATCATCCACAGACACTGAAATCTTTGGGTAAAGGATTAATGGAGAACCAAATATTCCCATGCTATCTAACTATCACCCTATATATTATTTGCCTTTTGAGAGGCAAGGCTTTAAGAAAGATAGATCTGCTTCTCACTGCCTTAAACTGATGATTCGTCCTGGCAACATTAGGATAGGAGGACCAGAATTTTGAGTGCTTGGTGATTTGCAATAATATTCAGTGCACAGTTTCACCCATAAGATAAAATTGTCAAAGACATATAAACTCTATTGAGTCAAACATCTACCTGTCAACTGTACTGTTCATTTCAACAAGTCAATGTCATGGAAAATAAAGGAGAGAGAGAGAATTAGGAGACATAGCAAAAAATGTAATCTGTAATTCTCAATTGTTTCTTCTTTGAAGGAAGCATATATACAAATAGGTATGAGAAAAGCTATGAATTAGGTAGCAATAGAAAATTAGTATTAAGTGCTAAAATATAACTGTAAAATGCAGGAAACCATTCTCATTTTTAGATGTGTGAATTTGAGTATTTGAGGGTAAAATATCAAGATATATATGATTGCATTTAAAATTCCTTAGGAAAAATTTATGAAGTATATCCAGCAAACATTTGGAAATTATTTGAAATATACCTATATATAGTTTCTACATTTATTTCTCTGCTTTTCTCTGTTGGAGGTATTTAAAAATTAAATACATACATACACAAAATTAAACATGTACATGCATGTGTGTATACATACATATAATCTCCAAAGCATATCAACAGTAAAACTACTTGATATGATGAAAAGAAAGAAAGTAGGAAAGGGGAGGGTAAAGGAGGGAGGGGATGGATGGTGAGTGCTATGATCTGAATGTCTGTGTCCTTCTAAAATTCTTATGTTGAAACCTAACCCCCAATGTGATGGTATTAGGAGGTAGGACACTTGAGAGTTGGTTAGATCACGAAGGCAGAGCCTTTGTGAATGGAATTTGTGCCAATTTTCACTTTTTTTTTTCTTACCATGGGGTCCCCCTCTGCCTCTCATGCTGAAGTGTAGTGGTGTGATCACAGCTCACTGTAACCTTGAACTCCTGGGCTCAAGTAATCCTCCTGCCTCAACTTCCTGAGTAGCCGGGACTAGAGGTGTGTGCCACCACAGACAGCTAATTTTTTGTGTTTTTAATTTTTTTTGTACAGACAAGGTCTCATTATGTTACCCAGGCTGGTCTCAAACCCCTGGTTTCAAGTGAGGCTCCCACCTAGCCTCCTAAAGTGCTGGGATTAAAGAAATGAGCCACCATGCCTGGCTGGATTAACACCCTTAAGAAAGAGGCCCCAGAGAGCTGCCTTGTGCCTTCCACAATGCAGTAACATAGAAAAAAGGTGCCACTTAGGAATGAGGAACTGTGCCCTCACCAGATATGGAATTGGCCTGCACCTTGATGTTAGACTTCCCAGCCTCTGAGAAATAAATTTTTGTTGTTTACAGTGACCCAATCTATAAGATTCTATATAACAGCCTAAATGAATTAAGAAGGATAGGAAAGGGAGGGTAATAAAGCAGAGGGGAGATCATATGTTTAGGAAAAACTTCACATTGCCTTAAAATATCTAGCTTTATTCATGAGGTTTCCATCCATAAATGTTAAGTATCTTTGGATTCAAAGTCTGTCCATTACAAAAATGTCCATGCAAATTTCAAATTTGTGCCTATGTTTTAACTATTTCTCAATCCTGTTAAACATTCTCAGCTCCAGTTATTTTCAGAACTTCCAGTTTTCAATTTCTTAACCTGATATTGACTAACATCCAGGTTCTACATGGTACCTGATTCTGCTCTTGTTTTCTTCCATCTGAACATAGAAACTAACTTGTTTTGTGCAAAGAGAATAATGGAGAGAAGTAACTTATTCCAATCCAATTATAATATAACTTGAAAACCCAGTTGTAATATGAGTTTTCTAAAGACTTCTGCTGCCCAATGGTATGATTTTACACCCACAGGAAATCCATCTTATTATTTCCCATAAATTGCTATAAGCAGAACTTAGAGGTAATAACAATAACTAATATTCATAAACAATTGATATTATTGATGTTAAACTGAATACATAAGATAAATTATGCCCATTTGACAGATGCAGAAACTGAGAATCGGAAGTCAACCAGTCTCTCCAGTTTGCTATAAAGAATCTGAGCTAGTTTTTTTTTCAGCTTTTAATGCCTCCAAAATTAATGCACTTTTCTTCATGACATAGACTCTTTTTAAGACAATATTTAGTTTGCAGATGTCAAAATTATAAATTGTTTTTCATTCAAATAATGACTGCAATATGATTTCCAGGACACACATGAATCCACTGTGAGATACAGCATTTTACTTTTTCTCTGCTATGACCACAAGTTGAGAATTGCTACATTTTCAGGCTACTGTGGGCATTTATCAGCATGTTTCCAGATGCCTGGGCACCAGGGCTAGGGATCCTCTAGGATCAACATTACAAGGACCTACAGTAGCTTTAATCAGATATACGCAATGGCAGCAATTGCCGATGTAGTCTTGGGTTCACACTTGGGAGCTCAAAGAAGCTTCTGTCAATACCCAGGGTATACTTTAGAAAGCTCTTGTTGCACTGTGCCTGAACTTTGGATTGTGTGCTGACCTTAATTAGCAGCAATACTGAACACTGAGCTCGTTACTGTCTGAATATCACCCTAAGTATTGAGAAAGTCTTACATTTCCTGTATATCTAAGTCAGGTGTCAGTAACTGAGGATATATTCTTGCCTCTATAAATTATTCAAAGGTGTGTTTTAAAAATATCTTGGGCATGAAATTCTAAAGTCCTTCTGATTTGGTTTGGCTGTGTCTTCATGCTAATCTCATCTGGAATATAATCTCCCATAATTCCCATGTGTCATGGGAGGGACCTAGTAGGAGGTAATTGAATCATGGGGGTGGGTATTTCCATGCTGCTCTCATGATAGTGAGTAAGTCTCACGAGATCTGATGGTTTTATAAAGGGAGGTTTCTCTAGGCAAACTCCCTTGCCTGCTGCCATGTCAGACGTCCCTTTGCTTTTTCTTCATCTTCCTCCATCATTGTGAGACCTCCCCAGCCATGTGGAACTGTGAGTTCATTAAACCCCTTTCCTCTATAAATTACCCAGTCTCAAGTATGTCTTTATTAGTAGCATAAGAACAGATGAATACACCTTCTTACCTTCTATTATTTATTTTTCCTATTTGTGTGAGCCCCATTTCTAATAGTAGGCTCAGAACAGTTCCATTTATATCCATGAGGACTTTTGTTCATTTGTTTTGGTCCCTATATCTTTCCATACTATACTGCTTTTGGGGTGAACAAAGGTCGTGTATTTTACTTGGTGAATATTTCCAGAAAACTCAGCATAATTATTTTAAAAAGAGGCACAATCCTGTGAGAACTTATCTGAGCCAATTGCCAGGACCACACAGCAAGTTCTGTTACTTTGATCCAAAAGGAGGTCAGTTCCTGCTGATTTTATAGTAAACTAGTAAACACTGACTAGAGTCCTGACTATATGGGCTTTTTAATTTAACTTTTATGATATTGTCTCTGAATTCTGAATACATATTTCTGGTTATAATTTTGTAACTCGTATTACCTGAGATTTGTGCAATCCTTTTGTTGGTTTTTTGAAATCTTTTATTTTTTTAAATCTATTTTATGATAAGACATAAAACTCATTTGCCTTGTCTAAAAATATCAAAATGGTAACCTATTTTCTATAATTCTCATGAAAACCTGAGCTCCCATTCTCCTTCTGAATGAGGCTTCTCTTGATACATTGAGCCCTACTGCAAGTTAATTTTATATTTTCTAAACAAAAAAAAAAAGTCTCCACTGTTTACTGGTACTATGCTTCCCCCAGCGAATGTGTACAGGATTGCTTATCAACATTGTAAATTCATCCTTGCTTGTATTGTATGATGTACAAGTAAGGCATGATGTGTAAGCAAGAAAGCATTTTTTAGTCTCAGAAACTCAGTGTCAATTAAAATTATTATTTTTTGCTTTATTGTTTACATTCAAAATGAAAAAAATCCTTTTCATGTGGTCATTTCTCAATACAGATATTGAATGCCTTTAAGTAGAGAGCTCAGGAAATTATCATTTTACCTCCAATGATATTTTAAAACTTTGTCAATATCTTGGTCAATAAAAAAGCTAGTTTTTGTTTATGTTTTGTTCATTTTTGCTTTTAATCATAGCTAAGTTTAGAAAAATGAAATCAATGTGTATTGTCAGAATGCAAGTCACAAATAAGAGTTTTCATTTCTTCAGTATGGAAAACTGGATACCCCCAATGGCCACTCCACATGAAATTAAATATTAAATATTGAAATATAAGAAATGACTCTTAAATGTATGGTGAAGTTCTAATGACAGAATGGTGATGAAGAATTGTAGTAAGAAAAATAATGAAGGGAAAATAAAGAGAGTTGGTGTATAATGGTTATAATTTTAATTTATTAGGAAGGTACAACAGTTCTAAATGTGTTTGAAGTTAATCATAGTCTGAAAATAGAGGTGACTCACAAACAAAACACTACACATGGAAAAGAATTATAATATATGGAAGAGATTAGTGCACTCTCTGACCAATTGTTTGAGCAAAAATACCATTAAAAAATAAAGATATAGAAAATAGAAAAAGCAAAAATTAAGAACTTGATGTACTTATAGTTCATATATTTCTTTCTTCCTATTTTAGGGTTCATTATTCTGTATATGCCCAGTAGATCATGCGTGAGATCAATAATAAATGATCAAATGCTAGGCTGCCTGTGTCATAGAATTAGTGTCATATAGACCACATTACTGAAACATAATCTAATTATGGTAGAAAAATGTCATTCATTTGGACATTAAATCACACAGATAAAATAAACATCTAAACACTTGTTGTGAAAAGAAAACATTATAATGGATATTCCAAAATATTTCTAGGTGATAAAATTTGTAAAACCATAAAAGTTTTAGATGCGACAAATGAAATGCATTCATTTCCTTTGCTGCTGTAAGAAAATTACCATAAACTTAGCATCTTCAACAACAGAAATGCCTTCACAGAGTTCTGGAGATCAGAATTCTGAAATTGGCTTTAATAAAATAGAAGCAAAGTATTTGCGGACTTGCATTTACTTCTAGAGGTTCTAAGAGAACATCTTTTTCCTTGACTTTGCCAGTTTCTAGAGACCACCTGTATTACTTGGCTTCTAGCCTCTTTGTTCATCTTCAAAGCCAGCAGCATAGCATCTACCAATCTCTCCGAGTCTGCTTCTGTCTTTCACTTATAGCACCTTTGCCCTTAGACTGGGCCAACCAGGAAATTCTGAAAGATCTTTCCAGCACGAGTTCTGTAAGCTAATCAATCACACCTGTGAAGTTCCTTTTGTTGTGTAAGAATGTATTCACAGGTAGGAGGCATTAGGATATGCACATATTTTGGGTGCTGTTGTTCTGCCTAGCAAGAACAATATTCAAAGGACTATTAGACTTATAAATGCCTTATACTAGAAGGTAAAAAAGCCTCAAAGTTAGTGAACTGAGCTTCCAACCTGAAAAATCTTAGAAAAAAATTCTCAGAATAAAACAAAGTAAATTAGTGGGGATGAATTACTAGTAAAAAATATTATAAAAGAAATTATAACAGCAAAGAAAGCTCAACAATGGTAAATATTTCTCTATATATACTAATAAAATGGATAATTCTCTGGCAATATTAATCAAGAAAATAAGAAATGTGTTCATTGATAACATTAGAAATAATAAATACTACAGTTGTTGGAGTTTATGCCAATAAACAAACTTATAACACTAAATTTGAAATTTTAAATGCCATTTATATATTTCTCAAATATCCTTACCAAAATTGACTGAATATTAATTATAAATTGTGAATGATTCTATAGCTGGTAAATAAAAAAAATCGATAATTCAGTGCCACCCCCACTGTAAAAACACAAAAAACTAGGCTCTGGTACAATCATTTTCAATGGAATTTTACCAAATATTTAATGTTTAAATAATCTGTCTTACATAATAATTCTATAGAAAAGAAAAAGAGTGATTAATCCCCTAGTCATTAGCTGTGTTAGGTTTAAAAATAAAAATTGATACACATTTCTTAAGAAAGCTAAACTGTAGGCAAATCTCAGCCAATTATACATTTATTAAGGTTTTTATATCTATTACAAATCAATCTGAAAATATATTTGGAAAAATATTAAGGAAATTAGCAAAAGCTAAAAAATGATGAGATGATGGACTTACTAGACAAAGTTATAAATAAGCTGTTATAAATAAGCTATTACTAATATGTCCAAAGAACTAAAGAGAACTTGAAAATGGCTGACTAGATGCAACCGAGAGGAACATCCCCTACTGAAAAATAGGGACATCAGGAAGATTGGCATGTCTTCAGAGAGAAGGCACTGAGAGTGGAAAAAGGGAAGACGCAGACACTGGACTAAATGAGGAGGAAGCTGGGAACCCTGCACAGGGCAGCAAAACACTGGGACCTGCTCCTGATTCCCAGTGACTCCCCAGATACATGCAATAAAAAAATGATAAAGAGGATATCACCACCGATCCCACAGAAATACAAACTACCATCAGAGAATACTATAAACATCTCAACTCAAATAAACTAGAAAATCTAGAAGAAATGGATGAATTCCTGGACACATACACCCTCCCAAGAATAAACCAGGAAGAAGTTGAATCCCTGAATAGACCAATAACAGGCTCTGAAATTGAGGCAATAATTAGTAGCCTACCACCAAAAAAAGTCCAGGACCAGATGGATTCACAACTGAATTCTACCAGAGGTACAAGGAGGAGTTGGTACCATTCCCTCTGAAACTATTCCGATCAATAGAAAAGAGGGAATCCTCCCTAATTCATTTTATGAGGCCAGCATCATCCTGATACCAAAGCCTGGCAGAGGCACAACAAAAAAAGAGAATTTTAGACCAATATCCCTGATGAACATCGATGCAAAAATCCTCAATAAAATACTGGCAAACCAAATCCAGCAGCACATCAAAAAGCTTATCCATCATGATCAAGTGGGCTTCATCCCTGGGATGCAAGACTGGTTCAACATACGCAAATCAATAAACGTAATCAGCATATAAACAGAACCAAAGACAAAAACCACATGATTATCTCAATAGATGCAGAAAAGGCCTTCAACAAAATTCAACAGCCATTCATGCTAAAAACTCTCAATAAATTAGGTATTGATGGGACGTATCTCAAAACAATAAGAGCTATTTATGACAAACCCACAGCCAATATCATACTGAATGGGCAAAAACTGGAAGCATTCCCTTTGAAAACTGGCACAAGACAAGGCTCTCTCACCACTCCTATTCAACATAGTGTTGCAAGTTCTGGTCAGGGCAATCAGGCAGGAGAAAGAAATAAAAGTATCCAGTTAGGAAAAGAGGAAGTCAAATTGTCCCTGTTTGCAGATGGTATGATTGTATATTTAGAAAACCCCACAGTCTCAACCCAAAATCTCCTTAAGCTGATAAGCAAATTCAGCAAAGTCTCAGGATAGAAAATCAATGTGCAAAAATCACAAGCATTCCTATACACCAATAACAGACAAACAGAGAGCCAAATCATGAGTGAACTCCCATTCACAATTGCTTCAAAGAGAATCAAATACCTAGGAATCCAACTTACAAGGGACATGAAGGACCTCTTCAAGGAGAACTACAAACCACTGCTCAATGAAATAAAAGAGGACACAAACAAATGGAAGAACATTCCATGCTCATAAATAGGAAGAATCAATATCATGAAAATGGCCATACTGCCCAAGGTAATTTATAGATTCAATACCATACCCATCAAGCTACCAATGACTTTCTTCACAGAATTGGAAAAAACTACTTTAAAGTTCATATGGAACCAAAAAAGAGCCCGCATTGCCAAGACAATCCTAAGCCAAAAGAACAAAGTTGAAGGTATCACGCTACCTGACTTCAAATTATACTACAAGGCTACAGTAAACAAAACAGCATGGTACTGGTACCAAAACAGAGATGTAGACCAATGGAACAGAACAGAGCCCTCAGAAATAATACCACACATCTACAACCATCTGATCTTTGACAAACCTGACAAAACCAAGAAATGGGGAAAGGATTCCCTATTTAATAAATGGTACTGGGAAAACTGGCTAGCCATATGTAGAAAGCTGAAACTGGATCCCTTCCTTACACCTTATACAAAAATTCAAGATGGATTAAAGACTTAAATGTTAGACCTAAAACCATAAAAACCCTAGAAGAAAACCTAGGCAATACCATTCAGGACGTAGGCATGGGCAAGTATTTCATGTCTAAAACACCAAAAGCAAAGGTAACGAAAGCCAAAATTGACAAATGGGATCTAATTAAACTAAAGAGCTGCACAGCAGAAGAAACTACCATCGGAGTGAACAGGCAACCTACAGAATGGGAGAAAATTTTTGCAATCTACTCATCTGACAAAGGGCTAATATCCAGAATCTACAAAGAACTCAAACAAATTTACAAGAAAAAAACAAACAACCTCCATCAAAATGTGGATGAAGGATATGAACAGACACTTCTCAAAAGAAGACATTTATGTAGCCAACAGACACATGAAAAAATGCTCATCATCACTGGCCATCAGAGAAATGCAAATCAAAACCACAACGAGATACCATCTCACACCAGTTAGAATGGCGATCATTAAAAAGTCAGGAAACAATAGGTGCTGGAGAGGATGTGGAGAAACAGGAACACTTTTACACAGTTGGTGGGATTGTAAACTAGTTCAACTATTGTGGAAGACAGTGTGGCGATTCCTCAAGGATCTAGAACTAGAAATACCATTTGACACAGCAATTCCATTACTGGGTATATACCCAAAGGATTATAAATCATGCTGCTATAAAGACACATGCACACGTATGTTTATTGTGGCACTATTCACAATAGCAAAGACTTGGAACCAACCCAAATGTCCATCAATGATAGACTGGATTAAGAAAATGTGGCACATATACACCATGGAATACTATGCAGCCATAAAAAAGGGTGAGTTCATGTCCTTTGTAGGGACACGGATGAAGCTAGAAACTATCATTCTCAGCAAACTATCACAATGACAAAAAACCAAACACCACATGTTCTCACTCACAGGTGGGAAATGAACAATGAGAACACTTGGACACAGGAAGGGGAACATCACACACCGGGGCCTGTCTTGGGTTGTGGGGAGCGGGGAGGGATAGAATTAGGAGATATACCTAATATAAATGATGAGTTTATGCAGGACACCAACATGGCACATGTATACATATATAACAAACCTGCACATTGTGCACATGTACCCTAGAACTTAAAGTATAATAATGAATATATGAATAAATAAATAAGTTCAATGATAGGAAAAAAAAGAAAGAGGCAAGTTGAACATGTGAGGAGTGGCCAACACTAACCACAGACCTCTGGAATTCTGGTGCACAACCCACGATCCCATGGACACTTAAGCTAGCAGGAAGAGTTGGTTGGGAAGGTGGCAGGGGAAGGATGCCAGCCTGTATGGAGCCCAAAGAATTTGGTTCAGGAAGGGTTGTAGTGGAGTATGGCCAGGGAGGCTCATCCTCCAAGGCTTGCCAAGCTCCTTTAGCTGGCTTTAGCTTTTGGGTAGTGTTAGACCTGGACAGAGCATGGCCGTCTTGCCCAGGGGATAAGGCCTGTCCTATCTGAGTGGCCCCCTGTCTGCTGGCCTTTCCTGGGGCCCCAACCTGCCCACGCATGCTTGCAGGGCATATTTGAATGCCCAAGCAGGGTGCTTCCTGGAGGCCCTCATCATAGCTCCTTTCCTGGCAGACCACACCTGACCATCAGAGAGGTCAGCAAACTGACCTTTGTTGACTCAACCAGCCCACTTTCAGCATCCCCCCCACAGTAGCCTTCCCCTTTTGCCTTGCCGGCACACACTTGCCCACTTTCTTGAAATCCCATCACTTTGTCAGTATACACACTTGGGTGGACCTTGCCTCCCCTCCTCCAATGGCATGTGTGCACCCTGCTCCCCCACTGTACTGGCAGTGTCAGTGCATGCCGCCATCCAGATGTCACCACCACCAGCATGCTAACCCCATGGAGGCACAGGCAGCCAGCCATGGTGCTCCCGCCACTACTACCAGTACAAGTGCATGCATACATGTTGGCACCCTACCCCCCCCAACATGTGGGCACTCTGCCTCACCATTGTTGCAGGCATAAGCATGTGCATGAAGGCCTCTGCCCCATTCCTGCCAGTGCCCTGCCCCCAGCTGACAGAGCGCACCCTGATGCATCACTGCAGCTTCTGACACATGCGGGCAAACACAGATTCCACTGCCACCACCCCTACAGAGCATTTTGGCCAGCACACCTCATCAGAATGTTGGGGCTAGTGGACTGGAATCATCTCAACCTCTTAAATGCAGTAGGTTCATAACTTTGAGCAGTTAGGGAATAAAGCTGGGGCCTGGTACCAGATCCCAGTGATAGAGCACATAGCCCAAGAGTGCAGAGCTGAGGCTTAGCCCCCTGAAATCTTCCAGAATCAAAGCTAGTTGACCTAACATCCCTTATACCAGAATCAAACCCCTAAGGGCATCAAAGAAGATACCAGCAAGAAAACTAAATAAAAAGAACAGAAATATCAAAGAGTAAAGGAATAACAGTCTATACAGATAATAAAGAACCAGCACAAGAACTCTGGCAACTCAAAAAGCCAGAATGTCTTCTTACCTCTGAATGACCACACTAGCTCCCCCAGCAATGGTTCTTACACAGGCTGAAATGGCTAAAATGACAGACATAGAATTCAGAATATGGATGGGAATGAAGATCATTGAGATTCAGGAGAAAGTTGAAGCCCAATTTAAAGAATCTGAGGAATATGATAAAATGATACAGGAATGAAAAGACAAAATAACTATTTTTAAGAAAGAACCAAACTGATGTGAGAGAACTTAAAAAAAACACTGTAAGAATTTCATAATACAATTGCAAGTATTAACAGCAGAATAGACCATGTAGAGGAAAGAATCTTGGAGCTTAGACACTGGTTGTCCAAATTAACTCAGTCAAACAAAAACGAACAAGAAAAACAAAACCTCTGAGAAATGTGGGATTATGTAAAGAGACAATATCTACGACTCATTGGTATCCCTAAAAGAGAGGGAGATGAAGCAAACAACTTGAAAAACATATTTGAGGATATTACCCACAAATATTTCCCAAACTTCACTAGAGAAGCCAATATGCAAATTCAGCAAATCCAGAGAACCTCTGTGAAATACTATACAGGATGATTATCCCCAAGACACGTAGTCATCAGATTCTCCAAGGTCGATATAAAAGAAAAATATATTAAAAACAGCCAGAGCAAAGGGCAATGTCACCTACAAAAGGAACCCATCAGGCTAACATCAGATGTTTCAGCAGAAATCTTACAATCCAGGAGGGATTGTGTGCCTATATTCACTATTATTAAAAAAAAAAAAAGAAACTCTGATCAAGGATTTCATATCCAGCCAAACTAAGTTTTATAAATGAAATAGAAATAAGATCCTTTACAGACAAGCAAATGTTAGGAGAATTCCTTGCCACTTTACAAGAGGTCCTTAAGGGTGTGCAAAACAGGAAAATGAAAGACCATTACCAACCACCACAAAAACACACTTAAGTACGTAGACCATTGACACAATAAAGCAACTACACCATTAAGTATGCATAATAACCAGATAACTACTTACTGACAGGTCCAATTCTGCACATATCAATATTACCCTTGAATGTGAATGAGCTAAATGTCCCAATTAAAAGACACAGAGGGGCAAGTTGGATAAAGAAGCAAGACCCAACTGTATGTTGTCTTCAAGACACCCATCTCACATGCAATTGACACCCACAGGCTAAAAGTAAAAGGATGGAGGAAAATCTTCCAAGAAAATGGAAAACAGAAAAAAAAAGTAAGGATTAATATTTTAATTTCAGACATAACAGACTTTAATCCAACAAAGATTAAATTAAAAAGAAAAAACACAAAGAAGGGTATTACATAATGGTAAAGGGCTCAACTCAACAAGAAGACTTAACTATCCTAAATATACATATGCACCCAACAAAGGAGCACCAAGATTCATAAAAGCAAGTTCTTACAAATCTATGAAGAAACTTAGGTAACCACAAAATAATAATGAGAGACTTCAACACTCCACAGACATTATTAGATCAACCATCAAGGCATAAAACTAGATATTCAGGACTCAAACTCGACACTTGACCATATAGACCTAACAGACATCTAAAGAACTCTCCATCCAAAACAACAGAATATACATTCTTCTTGTCTGCGCATGAACTATGCTATAAAGTTGACTACACAATCAGCTGCAAAACAATTCTCAGCAAATTCAAAAAAACCAAAATCATACCTACCACACTTTTGTACCACATGCAATAAAAATACACATCAATACTAAGGAGATTGCTCAAAACCATACCATTACATGGAAATTAAACAATCTGCTCCTGAATGACTTTTGCATAAACAATGAAATTAAGCCAGTAATGAATAAGTTCTTTGAAACTAATGACAACAAAGACACAACATACCAGGATCTCTGGGACACAGCCAAGGCAGTGTTAACAGGGAAGTTTATAGCGCTAAACACCAGTGTCATAAAGTTAGAAAGATCTCAAATGAACAACATAACATTACACTTAGAGAAGCTAGAGAAACAAGAATAAACCAATGTCAAAGCTAGCAGAGGACAAGAAATATCCAAAATCAAATCTGAACTGAAGGAAATTGAGATGTAAAAAACTTACAAAAGATCGATGAATCCAGAAGTTGATGTTTTGAAAGAATAAATAAGATTGATAGACTGCTAGCTAGACTAATAAAGAAAAAAGAGAGAATATCCAAATGAATACAATCAGAAATGACAATGGGGACATTACCACTGACCCCTCAGAAATAAAAAAAAAAAATCTCTCAGACACTATCATGAAAAACTCTATGCACATAAACTAGAAAATCTACAAGAAATGGAAAAGAATCTGGAAGCATAAACTCCCAAGATTGAACCTGGAATAAATTTAAATCTTGAACAGAAAAATAATGAGTTACAAAAGTGAATCAGTAATAAAAAGGCTGCCAACCAGGAAAAGGCCAGTACTAGATGGATGCACAGCCAGGTTATTCCAGACATATAAAAAGAGCTGGTATCATTTCTACTAAAACTATTTCAAAAGACTGAATCAGAGGATCTCCTACCCTAACTCATTCTCTGAGGTCACCATCTTTCTGATACCAAAACCTGACAGAGACACACACGCATAAACACAAACACACACAAAAACTGCAGGCCAAAATTCTTGATGAACATAGAAGAAAAATTCTCAACAAAATACTAGCAAACTGAATCCAGCAGAACATCAAAATCGAATCCACCTAGATTAAGTAGGCTTCATTCTGGAATGCAAGATTTTTTCAACATATTCAAATCTATAAATCTGATTTATTACATAAACAGAACTAAAAACAAAACCACACGATCATCTCAATAGATATAGAAAATGCTTATGATAAGATTCGACATACCTTCATGTTAACAACCTTCAACCAACTGGGCATTGAAAGAACATACTTTACAATAATTAGATTCATCTATGGCAAACCCACAGCCAACATCATAATGAATGAGCAAAAGGTGGAAGCATTACTCTTGAGAACTGGAACAAGACAAGGATACCCACCCTTACTACTATTGTTTAATGTAGTACTGGAAATCCTAGTCAGAGTAATTAGGTAAGAGAAAGAAATAAATGGCATCCAAATAGGAAGGGAAGTCACACTAGCTGTGTCTGCAGACAACATAATATTTTAGCTAGAAAACCCCATAGTCTCTGCCTAAAAGCTCCTAGGTCTGATAAAAAAACCTCAGCAAAATTTCAGAATACAAAATCAATATACAAAAATTAGTAGGTTTCTGTACACCAAAAATGTCCATGCTGAGTGCCAAATCAAGAACACAATCGTATTTACAATAATCAAAATAAAATAAAATACCTAGGAATACAGCTAAGCAGGAAGGTGAAAGATCTCTACAATGAGAATTATAACACACTGCTCAAAGAAATCAGAGATAATACAAACAAATGGAAAAACATTCAGTGCTCATGGATAGGTAGAAGCAATATTGTTAAAATGGCCATACTCTCCAAAGCAATTTACACATTTGTTGATATTCCTATGAAACTACCAACATCATTCATCACAGAATTAGAAAAAAAGAAACTATTCTAAAATTCATATGGAACCAAAAAAGGGCCCAAATAGCCAAAGCAATCCTAAGTAAAAGGAACAAAACTGGAGGTATCATATTACCCCACTTGAACAAAACTGGAGGTACCACATTATCCAACTTCGAACTAAGCTAAAACTATTCTAAAACAAAACAGCATGGTACTGGTATGAAAACAGTCATATAGACCCACGGAACTGAATAGAGAACTAATAAATAAAATCTCCACCTACAAGCATCTGATCTTCAACGGTTGGCCAAAACAAGCAACGGTGAAAGAACTACCTATTCAATAAGTGCTACTGGGATAATTGGCTAGCTATATGCAGAAGATTGAAACTGGACCACTTTCTTATGCCACATACAAAAATCAGCTCAAGACAGGTTAAAAAACTTAAAACCTGTAACTATCAAAATCCTTGAAGATATTCTAGGAAATGCCATTCTGGACATAGGCCCTGTCAAAGATTTCATGACAAAGATCCCAAAAGCTATTGCAACAAAAATAAGAATTTAAAAATGAGATTTAAGTAAACTAAAGAGGTTCTGCACAACAAAGGAAACTATCAAGAGAGTAAACAGACAACCTATAGAATGGAAGAAAATATTTGCAAATTATGCATCCAACAAAGGTATAGTGTCCAGAATCTATAAGGAACTTAAACAAATTAGCAAGCAAAAAAACAAACAATCCCATGAAATTGTGGGAAAAGTGCATGGACAGACACCTCTGAAAAGAAGATACATGCAGACATCGAGCATATGAAAAAATGCTGAACATTACTTAATTAGAGAAATGAAAATCAAAACAACAATGAGATACCAGCTCACACCAGTTAGAATGGTTATTACTAAAAAGTCAAAAAATAACAGACGCTATTGAGGTTTTAGAGAAAAGGGAATGCTTATACACTGCTGGTGGGAATGTAGATTAGTTTAGCCATTGTGGAAAGCAGTTTGGCAACTCCTCAAAGAACTTAAAACAGAATTACCATTCGACTCAGCAATCCCAATATTGGGTATATACCCAAAGGAAGATAAATAATTCTGTCATAAAGACACATGCATGTATATGCGTACTGCAGCACTATTCACAATATTAGAGACACAGAATCAACCTAAATGTTTATCATTGCTAGACTGGATAAATAAAAAGTGGTTTATATACACCATAGAATACTTTGCAGCCTTAAAAAAAATGAGATTATGTCATTTGCAGCAACATGGATGGAGCTGGAGGCCATTATCTTAAGTGAACCGGTGCAGGGACAGAAACCCAAATACTGCAGGTTCTCACTTGCAAGTGGGACCTAAACATCGAGTATCCATGGACACAAATGTATTAGCGCATTCTCACATTGCTACAAGGAACTCCTGAGACTGGGTAACTTATAAAAAGAAGAGGTTTAAATGTCTCATTGTTCTGCAGGCTGTATAGGAAGCATGATTCTGGCATCTGCTTCTGGCATTCTGCTTCTTGCCTCAGGAAACTTAACAATCCTGGTGGAAGGCAAAGGTAGAGCCAGCACTTTACATGACTGGAGCAGGACAAAGAGAGGAATCGAGAGGTGCTAAACACATTTAAATAACCAGATCTTGTGAGAACTCTATCACAAGACAGCACCAAGGGGTCGGTGTTAAACCATTTATGAAGGATGTAACCCCACGATCCAATCACCTCCCACCAGGCCCTACCTGCAACAATGGGGATTGCAATTTGACATGTGATCTAGGTGGAGACACAAATCCAAATAACATCAACAAAGAAGGGAACACCAGACATCAGGATGTAGCAGAGGGTAGAGGTTGGGAGGAGGGTGAGGATCTTAAAACTACCTGTTGGGAGTGTGCTTATTACCTGGGTGACAAAATAATCTGTACACCAAACCCCCATGGCACACAATTTGCCTGTATAACAAACCTACACATACACCTCTGATACTAAAAAAGCAGAATGCCAGAAGCAGATGCCAGAATCATGCTTCCTATACAGCCTGCAGAACAATGAGACATTTAAACCTCTTCTTTTTATAAGTTACCCAGTCTCAGGAGTTCCTTGTAGCAATGTGAGAATGCGCTAATACATTAAATAAATACAAATAAATTAAGTAATTAAAAAAAGAACTGAAAAATTGTTTAAACTTTTTAAAAAATCTTTATAGATAATGTATCACCAAATACAGAGCAACAATAAAGAGATATGAATTATTTAAACAAAAGAGGGGTGAAATAAAATTCTGGAATTAAGAAGAATAATAATTACATTAAAATTCACTGAAGATGTTCAAAAGTTATTTGGAGCTGGCAGAAGAAAGAATCCATGAACATGAAGATAGGACAGTTGAGATAATCCATAATAATATGCAGAAAGAAAAATAACTGTAAAGGTGAACAGCACCTCAGAGATTTGTAGGGCACCATCAACTGTACTAACAAACGCATAATAGGAATCTCAGCTTGTAAGGAGAGAGAGAAATAAATAATATGTGGATACATTATGGCTGAAAACATCCTAAATGTGATGAAAAATATTAATCTCTGCCACCAAGACTCTTGATAAATTCAAAATAGGATAAACTCAAAGAGATCCACCCCTAGATATAGACACATCATATTCAAGCTGCTGAAAGCCAAAACTAAAAGAAGAACCTCAAAAGCAGAAAAAAAAAGAACAAAAACAAAGCAGGATAAATATAAATTCTAAACTGGTCACATACAGGGAATCCTCAATGAAATTAACAGCTGACTTTCCATCAGAAACAATGGATGCCAGGAGGCAGTCTTAAAACACACTCAAAGGGAATGAAACAGTCAACCAACAATGTTATATCCAGTAAAATGAACCTTTCAAAATAAAAAACAAATTAAGAAATTATTAAATTAAAAAAGAGAGTTCATTGCTAGTAGAATACCCACAAAAACCATCTAATGGGAGTCATTCAATTTTAAATTAAAAGTCACTGAATAATAACATGAATAAACAAAAGATAATAAAGAATCAGGTGAAGGCAAAGGTAATAACTCAGGTAAGGCAACTATAAAAGTTATATGAAAGTGAATATAAAAGTGCAATGGATTCTTGTTTATATATCTTTTCTTCTCATATTATTTTAAAATATTATATAATGCAATGGTTATAAACTTATTTGAATAATGTGATGGTTAGTTTTATATGTCAACTTTACTGGGTCACAGGATTCTCAGCTGGTTAAACATTATCTCTGAGTGTGTCTATGAGGGTGCATCTAGAGGACACTAACATTTGAATTGGTGGACAGAGTAAAGTAGATGGACCTCTCCAGTTGTGGTGGGCCTCATCCCATTTCTTCAGGGCTCAAATAGAATGAAAAGGTGGAGGAATGTTAAACTAATGGCCAGACTGTTTGAGGTATGACAGTGATCTTCTCCTGCTCTGAGAACTCCTGATTCTCAGGCCTTCAAATCTAGGCTAGAATCTGTATAATCTTCTCTCTGGTTCTCAGGCTTTGAACCAGCTTTCCTGGATCTCCAGCTCACAGAAGGCAGATTCTGGGACTTCTCAACTTCTACAATTGCATGAACCAATAGCTTATAAGAAACCTCTTTATATATTCAGTAGAAGATACACATCTCCTATTAATTCTCTTTATCTACAGAGCTACGACTAATACGGATGGGATTATAATATATTAGCACGTAAATGAACAATTATAATGTATAAGAAGAGGAAAGGAAAGGACCATATTGCTATAAAGCTTTTGTATAGTATTGAAATGAAGTTTACAAGATTTGAACAAGATTATTCTAAATTAAGATGGTAGTGATAATCCGTAGGCAAACCACTAAGACAATTAACTTAAAAACAATAAAATTGAATCAAAATGATATACTAGAATTTATATATTTAGCATAAAAGGCAGTAATGAGAAATATAAAAATAAACACATGAAAATATAGACTATAGACTATAAATAGCAACAAGACAAAAGTAATTACATTATATGTTAATTGATTAAAACTTCCAACCAAAAGCAGAGAGGCAGAAATTAACAGATTTAAGAAATGATCCTACTATATGTTGTATGTTCTCTACAAAAGATAAAAATTAGGTTGCAAGACACAAATAGGTTCAAAGTAACCAAATGGAAAAAAGTACCAGGTCAACAATAACCAAAAGAGCAAAAGAGTAATAGTGGTTATACTAATAAAGACAAAATATCCTTTAAGACAAAAATTGTTATGGAGACAAATATGAACATATTATAATGATAACATTTTCAATGCATCAGAAAAACACAAGTATTATGAATGTATTTGGTGTTACAACACAACTTGTTAATACATGAAGCAAAAATGGGCATAAATCAAAGGAAAAATATACAATTCAAGATCACCGCTGAATACTTTCATATCCCACTTTCAGTAATGGATGTATCAATGTGCAAAAATCAATTGAATACTAGCAATGAATAATCTGAAAATGTAATTAAGAACATTTAATTTACAGTAAAATTAAGAAAAAATAAATTCCTTGGGAATAAACTTATCAAAATAAGTGAAATATTCATTCACTGTGAAATTCAAAATATAATTTAATTATATTACAGAGGACATAAGTAAATCTAAAGTTGTCTCTTCATCATAGATCAGATGATTTGTTATTGTTAAGATGACAATACTCCCCAAATTGAACCACATATTTAACACAATCTCTACCAAAATCACAGTTGGATTTTTTTTTTTTTGGCAGAAATTGTCAAGATGATCACATAATGCAAGGAACTTAGAATAGACAAAACCTCTTGAGAAGGAGAAACAAATTTAGAGGATTCACATTTCCAATTTCACAATTTACTTCTTAGTGCAGTAATCAAGACAGCATGGTCTAAGCATAAGAATAGACATAGAGAACAAAGGAATAAAATTGAGAGTCTAGAAATAAGCCCATACTTTTATGTTTATCCAATTTTGACAAGATTGCCAAGAAAATTCAATGGGGACACAATTTTCTTTTCGACAGTGAGTGCTGGGACGAACAGATACACACATGCAAAAGAATGAAGTCAGACTTCATTCTCAACCTAGATTCAAGAATTCATACAAAATTTATCATGGACAAAATAGAAGAGCTAAAATTATAAACTTATAAAAGAAAGGTAGGATTAAATCTCTGTGAGCCTGAATTAGGCAATGGTTTCTTAGATAGGACACCAAAACCTAAGAAACAAAAAAAGTTGGTAATTTGGATTTCACCAATGATAAAACTTTTGTGTTTCAAAGGACATCATGAAGTAAGTGAAAAGTCAACCCACAGAATGGAAGAAAATGTCTTCAAATTATATATCTGAAAAGGAGATTTTATCTAGAATAAATATACAAATATTTTCCAGTCTGGGCGCGGTGGCTCAAGCCTGTAATACCAGCACTTTAGGAGGCTGAGGCAGGCGGATCACGAGGTCAGGAGATCGAAACCGGCCTGACCAACATGGTGAAACCTCGTCTCTACTGAAAATACAAAAATTAGCTGGGCGTAGTGGCATGCGCCTGTAATCCCAGCTACTCAGGAGGATGAGGCAGGAGAACTGCTTGAACCCGGAAGGCTGAAGTTGCAGTCAGAGGAGATTGTGCCCACTGCTCCAGCCTGGGCCACAGAATGAGACTCCATCTCAAAAAATAAAATAAAATAAAATAAAAAATTCCAACTCAATAATAAAAAGAAATATTATACAGTAATATTATATAAAATTAAGAAAATCATTAAGAAAACTAAGAAAAGGATTACCAAATAATGTTAGTAGACATTTATCCAAAGAAAATATATAAATTATCAATAAGCATATGAAAATGTGCTCAACATCATTAATTAGGTAACCCCAATCAAAACCACAATGAGATACCATTGCACTCATTAAGATGGCTATAATTCAAAAAGAAAAATAATAAACAGTGGTGGAGTTATACATGTCCAGTGGGAATATAAAATAATGTAGTTGTTTTGAAAAATGGTTTGAAGTTTTCTCAGCTTCTTAAACATAGTTGCCTATCATATAACCAATTATTTTCACCCCTAAGTGTACATGCAAGAGACATGCAAACATATGTCCAAACAAAAACTTGAAGTGAATATTCATATTGGCATTATTTATAATAATTAAAATGTGGAAACTACCCAAATGTCTGGAAACTTATGAGTAGATAAATGCAATATTGTATATCCAAACAATGGCGTATTCTTTAGTAATAAAAATGAAGTATTATTAATATATGCCTCAGTATAGATGTACAATGAAAATGTTATACTAAGTGAAAGAAGCTAGTTATTTAAAAAATGACACGTTGTTGAAGTAGATCTATATAAAAATGTCTAGAATAGGCAAATCTATAAGAAGATAAATAATTGTGAATGACAATGTCTGAGGGAGGGTCAATGGGGAATGATGGCTAATGGTTACTTTGGCAGAGGAAAGGGTGATGAAAATATTTTTAACTTAGTTTTTGCTTACGGTTGTACAACTGTGTATATACTAAAAACCATTACATTTTATACTTTAACTGGTTGAAGCCATTTTATGGCTTGTGAATTATATCTCAATAAAATGTCTTAAAAAGTAAATAAGTAAATGCAGTGGTACTCTGTGGAACATTGAAGAGGACAAGTTGTATACAGGGGAACAGTTGGATGAACAGGTCAGTAATTTCATATCGGTTTTATTTAGGCTGTTGATGTTAGGATGGTAATGGTGATTTTAAGAAAAGACTTAATGTTATCTATAGTACATGACTAGCTGTGGGGATGAAGTTCACTAAGGTGGTTACCCCAATAGCTCTGATAGTTTTTAATGCTACTCTGACAGGCAGAAATCATACATTCATTAATAAACACATTAGTAAATCCTTTAATGTATTATATTCATACATACAATTTCAGCTATATACACAAAATATATTCTTTAGCTTTTCAGCAATATTAAAATCGCACAATGTAAGGCTACAATTATTCCAAAAGAGCCCTTAAAACATTTTTACTACTGGTAATAAGTCAGCTTTTCTGTAAAGTTATACCCTATGGAAAACATGTGAAGAAAATTCTCTGTGCTAACCTCATCTCCAGGCAATAGTAACTATCCACTTCCCTTTCAGCAGCTACAAGGTAACCCTGAAAAGTCCTTCCTTACACGGGTGATGATCACTTTAAAGAAAGGAGAAAAGGAAAAAGAAACTAAAACATTTTCTCTAACAAGCACCAGATGCTACAAAGTGCTGCATAAGCACAGGACAAAAGTACTCCTTTTCACAGGCAGGGAATAAAATACAGTAAATTGCCCAGACAGAACAGCAAAATGGCGCAGATTGCGCTTCCTCTCTTAGGATCATCAGATGATTAGGGAGCATGGTCTCATTAGAGTCTCTTGGAACAAATTGACAAACTGGTGTGTTTTCCTTCATTTAGTGGACATAAACGTTGTTTATCTTCCTAAATGCAATGGTTAAAAGTCTCAATCATCAAAGCATATTGAGTGTATCAATGAAAATTTATTCCTCTTTGGTCAGTTACTATGAAATTCAGTGAGAAAAAAATAAGTTAGTAATGTCTACTTATAGTAGAGATTCTGTATAGTACAACTTCTTCAGCTTCAAATTGTTACTGCTATTGTTGCTGTTTCTTTTTCTTGGCAATTCATCTGACAGGAAATTTTACATTTTAAGCAAGAAGAACCCAAGAATGAACCAAAATATAGGGCTCAGATTAATTCACTCATACAAGCACACACACAATAACAATAATCATAAATCATTGATCATTTCCTATGTGTTAAGTTCTGGATTGAGAACAGCCAATACAACACTCATCTAGAAACTGAGAGTTTAATGAGGGAACTCATGTATTAGACTTCTCTAGAGGGACAGGAATATTAGGATAGATGTATATATGAACTGGAGTTAATTAAGGAGTTTTGACTCAAAGGATCACAAGGTGAAGTCCCACAATAGGCCAGTCTGCAAACTGAGGAGCAAGAAAGCCAGGCAGCATCCCAAAACCTCAAAAGTAGGGAAGCTGACAGTGCACCTTCAGTCTGTGGCCAAAGGCCCAAGAGCCTCTGGCAAACCACTGGTGTAGGTCCCAGAGTCCGAAAGCTGAAAAACTTGGAGTCTGATGTTTGAGGGCGGCAAGCATCCAGCACGGGAGAAAGATGGAGGCTGGAAGAGTCAGCTGGTCTAGTCCTTCCAAGTTCCCCCGCCTGCTTTCATTCTAGCTGTCTGAAGCTGATTATATGGTGCCCACCCAGATTGAGGGTGGGTCTGCCTCTCCCAGTCCACTGACTCCAATGTTAATCTCCTTTGGCAACACCCTCACAGACACCCCCAGGAACAATACTTTGCATCCTCCAATTCAAACAAGTTGACACTAAGTGTTAACCGTCATAGCTCAATACATAAATAAAATAACATACCTTGATGGTAGAGGTATGCTCAGGAGTTACACAAGGACAGGCTGTGAGCACTTTCTCTGTCAGGAGTGGTCGTCAGGTAAGAATGCCTGGAGAATGTAATCCCAGCACTTCGGGAGGCCGAGGTAGGCATATCACGAGGTCAGGAGATTGAGACCATCCTGGCTAACAAGGTGAAACCCCGTCTCTATTAAAAATACAAAAAAATTAGCCGGGCGTGATGGCGGGCGCCTGTAGTCCCAGCTACTCTGGAGGCTGAGGCAGGAGAATGGCGTGAACCCGGGAGGCGGAGCTTGCAGTGAGCCGAGATCCCGCCAGGGCACTCCAGCGTGGGCGTCAGAGTGAGAGTCCGCCTCAAAAAAAAAAAAAAAAAAAAAAAAAAAAAAAAAAAAAAGAATGCCTGGAGAAGCAGACGTTTTGGCTAAATTGCCAGTGAACTGAATAGTAGTTAGCTATGAAGAGGATTAGTGGAAAGGATACTTCAGGGACTGAGGATAGCATGAAGCAAATTAGAAGGCTGTGAAGTAGTGTCGTGTGTGTGGAGAGGAATTACAAGCAATCCAGAATCATGGCACGGAGCAGAGAGGAGTGCAAGCAGTAAAGGTTAAGCTAATTCAAACTTCCAAGTTATATAGAGCTATATAAGCTAAGTCCTAGTTCCAATATTTTCAATAACCACTAATGTGGCTGGGCAAGTTTTTAAATCTTTCTGGGATGATATTTAAGCTTTTCTTCTTCTTTTTTTTTTTTTTTTTTCAAATTTTCATTAATTGATCTGCAAATCTTTATCTGCAATTGGCCGTCTTGACACTGACCACAGCCAACATGAGGCAATTGCCGACTGCTCTAAACTGAATTGGAACCAAGAGGGACCCAGACTCTTGGTTGGGCCATCAAGAGTTCTGAACGTGCTAGTTTACGAGACTTGGAAATAACATTTTTACTTTCCAGTTTCCAAAGGCTTAAGTCCTTGTAAAGGAGCAAATCGTTTTATTTTTACCTGGTAAACTCAGTTTGCTGATTCTCTCCCCACTAATTAGCCCCATTCTGCTTAGGTCTCTGGTGCTCAGGATGAGTGCCTCAGAGTAGAACATGAAACATTTTTAATATGATCCACCCCAATACAGTTGAATCAGAAATTCAAGAGGGAGTGCTCAAAACACATACTGTTTCAGGCCCGAGTGACTTACAGTCAACCTATTAATCAGGAAGATTTAACTGAGGACTGTCTTTTATGTAATTTCTGCAAATAAAATCTTTTGTTTCTCTTTATTCATTCTTTTCAGAAAAAAATAATGAATTTAACAAATACATTGAATAACAACCATATGCAGGGAGAGGAGCAGAGAGAAAAAATAAACAATAAAGAAAGTGGTAACAAAATATCCCTAATTTTGATGATTTGCAGCCAACAGTCATGCAGTGAAACCATATCTTCATTTCTCTGATATGGATCCACTCTATTAAATTTTGCCCTGAAGTTCATGATAGTTTTGCCAGCCTCCATGACAAATTTTCTTTTGCTCACCTTCATTGAGAGAGACGATATTACTTTTTTGCTTCAGCTCATGGTGAGAACCAATGTGATAGTATATACAAAATACCTTTGAAAATAGCAAGTGATTTCAGAAAATCTAACACTATTTTGTCATGTATTACTTTAATAATCTTAAAACACATATCTCCTATATTTCTGTTTCCTATAGGATATGTCCAAACTTCTTAACACAATCCTACTCTGTTTACGTTATCTTGTTTTTCTAATTCTCCTCTACTTCTTTGCCCTAATCGCACCAAAGCACCCATAATTATTTGATCATGATATCTACATCATTGGCTCATTCCCATTCATATAATTTAACATCTAATTTTTTGGCTGCTGCTGAATTTCCACTGGTCCAGTTGTCATGTTCTCTGGGAGCTGTGTTTTTATTTTCTTCATATAGCATTAATTGTCCCTTTCTTATAATACCACCAACCTGAAAAAATATCATATGACTTTTTAAAACTTTTCCTTTACCTTACAAACCTACATCTTCTCAATGAGCACAACATGCAAAACCCATCACTTTCCAATGTATATCATTATCCACGCATTGTTATGTCTTGCTTGGAAAATGGAAGAGTTTCCCTGCTTATTCTCTGGTCACTATTCATACGATTCTCTACCAGCCACCAAAATCATCTTTGGAAAATACAAGCCAATCATTTTATTCCCTATTTTAAAGTATTTTAAGAGCCTCCACTTGAAGTTGTATTAACATTTTCAAGCTTTCTGATGTGCCTTCTGCCAACTTCCCCCACTTCACTTCACCCTCACCTGCTATATTAGTTAGGGTTCTCTAGAGAGATTGACCAATACGATAGATAGACACATACGTACATACATAGATGTAGACACATGAGAGGATATTTAGGGAAATTGACTCACTTGATTATGGAGGCTGAGAAGTCCTACAAAAGGCTGTCTGCAAACTGAAGCCCCTGGGATGCTGCGGGTGTGGCTTAGTCCAATTCCAAAGGTCTCAGAACCGGGGAAGCTGATGGTGTGCCTTTCAGTCCAAGGCCAAAGTCCTGAGAATCAGAATGGGTTTGAGGGGGTACTAGTGCAAACCCTAAAGTCTTGGAGTTCTGACATCCGAGGATGGAGAATAAGATTGTCTCAGCTCCAATAGAGAGAGAGGAAATCACATTTTCTCTGCCTTTTTTGTCTATTTGGGGCCCCAAGTGGTTGATGGTGCCTGTCCTCATAGAGAGCAGATCTTCCCCACTTGGTCTGCTGAATCACACACCAATCTCCTCCAGAGTCACCCTCACAGGCCCACCCAGAGCAGCACTTTACCGGTTCGCTAGCTATTCCTTAACTCAAGTTTACACCTAAAACTGACCATCATACCTGCTCTGCCCAAGCCACACAGAATCCCTTCTTTGAATATGCTGGATTTTTTCTTGCCTTAGGCCCTTTGCACTAACCAAGGCTTCTGCTAGGGTGCTCTGCTCACTGATCGTTACTTGGCCAACTCTTTCTTGCTATTCAAATATCAATGAGTGGCTTATACTAAAAAGATATCTTAAAATTTTTATGTTTATTTCCTCACACTAAAATATAATCCCTGGAGAGGGCCTTTCTCAGGCTTCTTTATTGCTATATTTCTAGTGTCTTGAATAATGCCTAATAATGAAGCAACTCAATGCATGTTTTTGGTGAGTGAATGGATGTTAGTTGTTTATATAGCAATTTCCCCTGCTAGGCTGGGAACAAATGTGGCCTCCATTTTTGTAGGCCAAGCTCAATGCACAGAAACTGAGATGCAATGAGATCTCAAATATTTGCCAGGTAAATATTTAAGTAAATTCACTGTTTATAAGACGAAAAGACAATGTAGCACTTAGGAATATACATCAGTAATAGAGTGGAATAATGCCAATAATAGAGCAGAATAATTTCAAATACTTTTCGACAGAAGTGATCATTTGTAGTTCTACTTCCCCTCATTCATAACTAAAATAATATATGAAAATTATGTAAGTTAACATTCTGGGTAGCAAGATTAGCTGTCTTGAGCTAAATTATATAGAGACATTTGATGTCCTTAGGCTACTAGAATAACACAATTTGCTCATTGGCATAAGGATAAATTATTTGAGGCAGTTTCTTTAGAAGTCATGAACTCTAAGTCTTTCTGCTTCATTTGGTCTGATTGGCTGTGATTCATAAATATTCCCTTCCCCATAACCTTGAGATGACATTCATTTGAAAAAGAGTTAAATGGTATTAGGGGTGAAGTCCATGGCCTTGATATTAAAGAAAGGTAGCTGGGCCATAAAAGAATAAATTGTATTACACTTACGGAGCCCAGTTAATCTTATGACTGATCATGATAGTTATGAAAATCAGAATGCCAGAAATCTAAGTCGAGGCCATAGGGAGTTTAACAAAAATACATAGTCGACAATTTGACCATTTTGTTATATTTTATTTTTTAAAAATTGGAATAAATGTAGATACTAAGATTTACATAATCAGAGTAACACCTTTATAGGATCACTATGAAACATCGATTTACTAAAGTTTTCAAAGTTAAAGTGAAACAATTATATAAACATTAGTATAGATAAAAATCTATAGATAATAATTCTACATTGAAAGGGATAATTTAATGGTTACACGCAATTCAATTTCGTCCTTACTTTACTATTCTGGTTTTTGTCTCTAGAATTGACTTGACTTTTCGTTACTGTGCAAGTGAATGGGGTTCTCATTGGAATTTATGTCCAGGATGCTCCATAATTCCCAGAGGTAATAATGAAAAAAATAAATCACTTTACTTCACAATGTGCCTATGAAGCTTTTGTATTGATGCTTAAATCAAATCAAAGTAAGGTCACAGAGATACCTGACTCTCCTAGCATTAAAATAAAAAGTGCAAGCTATATTGAAAGAGACTGCAAATATTTAATAACATTAAGGCTTCGTGAAATAGATCTAGCATTTAATGGGAACTCCCAATCGTTTTCTCAGCCCATAAGTCTGTATTGTAATAATTTCAATTGTTTGCTCTGGGTAGTCAGCTGGTTTCACATTAATGTCGACTTACTATTGTGATTTACTTTCTTTAGGTCCCAACTGAGCTCCTGAAATTTGTGTGATTTGCCTATCATTGATTACAAAGAAAGTTTCTGTTTGCTTCAAACATGATATTTCTATGAATAAATAAAATAGCTCATATGAAGGGAAAATAGAATTACTTTAAATCTATTCTAGCCTCTTTCATAAACACACTTTTTGGATACTAATATGTGAATATACAAGAATTCTCAGTTCTATTTGGCAAGAAATTTTTGGCAATATCACGCCTACAACTTACTCAGCATATTCTTGGTGATGTTGTAAACAAACAAGTTAAAGCTAAACTCTTGCCAAAAGAATTTAAAGTTGAGCACATTAAGCAGTCTAAGAATTGAAATAGCTTACATAAACTTGTAAAAGAAAACACAGGCACAGCTCATTTTATTGCGCTTTTGGATTTTAAGGTATCTTTTTTTTTTTTTTTTTTTTTTTTTTTCCACAAATTGATGGTTTGTGGCAGCCCTGCATTGAGCAAGTCTATCAGTACCATTTTTCCAACGGCATGTGCTTACTTCATGTTCATCTGTCACATTTGGTAATTCTCATAATGTTTCAAACATTTTCACTATGATATTATCTATTATTGTGATCTATGATCAATGACCTTTGAGGTTACTATTGTGATTGGTTTGGGGGTTGTATGAACAGTGACCACATAAGATGATGAACTTAATTAATAAATGTCTGTTCTCTGTCTGCTCTTCTCCCTGTTCTAACCACAAGCCATTCCCTGTCCTTCTTCCTCTCCTCGGTGCTCCGTATTCCCTGAGACACAGCAATACTGAAATTGAGCCAATTAACAACCCTTAAATGGCCTTTACATGTTCAAGTGAAAAGTCCCACAACTCTCACTTAAATCAAAAGCTAAAAATGGTGAAGCATAGTGAAGAAGGCTTGCCGAAAGCTGAGACAGTCTGCTAGGACCCTCGCAATAACAGTGAGCAAAGTTGTGAATGCAAAAGAAAAGTTATTGAAAAAATTTAAAATGCTACTCTAGTGAACACATGAGTAATAAGAATGCAAAACAGCCTTATTGCTAATACGGAAAAAATTTCAGTGAGTTAGATTGAAGATCAAACCAGCTACAACATTCTCTTAAGCCAAAGTTTAATCCAGAGCAAGGCCCAAACTCTAACTCTCTTCAATTCTATGAAGGTTGAGAGAAGTGAGAAGCTATAGAAAAAAGACAGATAAATAAAAATTTTTAAAAAATGAAGCTAGCACAGGTTGGTTCATGAGGTTTGAGAAGAGAAGCCCTCTTCATAACATGAAAGTGCAAGATAAGGCAGTAAGTGCTTATATAGAAGCTGCAGTATGTTATCCAAAAAATTTAGCTATACTAGATGACAGATTTTCAATGTAGATGAACTAGCCTGCTGGTGGAAGAAGATGCCTTTTAGGATTTTAATAGAAAGGAAAAGTCAAAGCCTGGATTCAGAGCTTCAAAGGACAGGGTGACTCTCTTGTTGGAGGTTAATGCAGCTGGTGACTAAATTGAAGCCAGTGATCATTTACTATTCTGAAAATCCTAGGGCCTTTAAGAACTATTTTAATTCTACTCTGTGCTCTATAAATGGAACAACAAAGCCGAGATGACAGCTCATCTGTTTACAGCCTGATTTACTAAATATTTTAAGCCCATTGTTGAGAACTGTTGCTCAGAAAACAAGATATTTTTCCAAAATATTACTGCTGATACACAAGGACATTAATGCTGTTTCTATGCTTGCTAAGTCAGCATTTATTCTGCAGCCCATAGTTCAAGAGTAATCTTCACTTTCAAGTAGTATTATTTAAGAAATACATTTTGTAAAGCAATAGTTGCCATAGACAGTGATTATTCTAATGGATCTGGGCAAAATCAATTGAAAACCTTTTGGAAAAGATTCACCATTCTAAATGCCATCAAGAATATTCATGATCCATGAAAAGAGGTCAAAATATCAACATCAACAGGAGTTTAGAAGAAATTAATTCCAACTCTTCTGTATGACTTTGAGGGGTTCAAGACTTCCGTGGAGGAAGTAACTGCAGATGTGGTAGAAACTGCAAGAAAACTGTAATTAGAAGTGAAGCTGAATGTGGGGCTAGATTGCTGAAATCTGCTGATAAAACTTGAACAGATAAAGAGTTGCTTTTTATGGATTAGCAAATAAAATGGTTTCTTGTGAAGGAATCTACTTCTGGTAAAGATGCTATGAACATTGGTGAAATCACAATACAGGAGTTAGAATAGTTCATAAACTTAGTGGACAAAGCAATAGTCAAGTTTGAGAAGATTGATTTCAATTTGGAAAAAATTCGAATTTAGATCAAATTTCATCAAATAGCATCATATGCTACAGAGGAATCTTTCATGAAAGGAAGAGTTGATCAATGTGGCCAACTTTATTGTTTTCTTATTTTAACAAATTGCCACAGCCAGCTTTCAGCAATCACCACTTTGATCAGTCAGCATCCATCAACAATGAGTCAAGAACCTCTACCAACAAAAAGATCACAACTCATTGAAGGTTTAGATGCTCATTAGCATTTATATTACATATATATTGTATGTACATTTTTAGACATAATACTATTGCATACATAATAAATTACAGTATAATATAAACATAATTTTATCTGTGGGAAACAAAAAGGATTTTTTTGTGCTCACCTTATTGGGATATTTGTTTTATTTCAGTGGTCTGGATCTGATCTCTCAATATTTCTGAAATATGCCTATGAATCCAATAAATAAACAAACTAAAAAAGACTCCTGGATATAAAGGAAACAATAGGCTGCCCTACCAAAAAAGACACATTTTGGGACAAAGTCAAGGAGATGATGCACTTATCTTTATAGACTCATTGATAATAAGAAAATATAATGAATTACAGAAGTAGAAACATTTTACCTAAATTAAGGACCCCTCCTTCTTGACTTTTCTTTCAGAGAAGAGGAATGGTTAAGTGGAAATCAACTACTGGAAAACCATCTATCAATTAATCAATCAATCATGCTGTCATTTCTTATAAGTGCCCTAAAAATTAAATGGTGGATCAGCACTCAGGCATGAATTGGTTATGTTTTCAATTACTGAAGAAGCACCAAATGAACAAAAGAAAATTTCTGAATTATAATCATCCTCTGACAATGTAACTAAGGGAACTCAATATTCATTTGTGCCTCACCTTTCTCCTTCCTGAAGGAGAGGATTAACTATTTGATTTAAAAAGTATGTCCCAAACATAACACTAAAATTTATGGAAATAATTGTTTTTCTCTTTAGATTCCCAACACAGTGGCAATAAACAAAGCAAATATTAGTGCAAGATTATAGATAAAAACAACAACAACACCAACAATGAAATGCTTACACATGGGGCTCAGATCACAGGAACAATTAGTGAGAAGAATGCAGGACAATTCAAATCTTCCAATTTCTAGTTAGATTACTTTATACCACACTAACATTTAAGAAACACCATTTATTTGCCAACTGCATTGAGAGAACACTGCTTATGAAATTACAAAAGCACCCATAACCTAGGTTAGTTTATGTTCTTAATCAAAAATATAAATTTTGAAAACTAGTCACACATTTAATTTGATATTTCAAATAAGTGATCACTTAGAAGTAAAGAAACTCATTTTCTTATATGGCTCATAAACTACTCTAGTTTTCTTTTTAATTAAGCCAAGAGATGATTCCAAAAATTATTTCAAGTGAAAGAAGCATTACTGGGGGATAGTTTCATAATGTGAACAATATAAAGACCCACATTCACTCTAAGCATGCAAAATTGGATAGAAACCTAGATTTCTGAGCCAAAGTGCCTAATATAGAACCTTAGTTCAACACATCCCACAATGTGCAACTCACTTTGGACAAGTTAGTTGTCTTCTCTGTATCTCAGGTTCTTTAGCAGGAAAGGGAGGAAGGTAATGGTGTTACCTTAGGTAGGTAAGGACTGGCTCATTGTTAAAATTCATTAATGGTACATAGTATTAATATTTAAATTCTATAACACTTTCCAGCATAAAATATTTTTATTTTATTCTCTATATATTATAATTTAGTTCTATATTAGTAAGCTTGGTATGCCATAACAAAATACAGAACAACATAAATTTATTTCTCATGTTTCTGGAGGCTGGGAAGTTCAACATCAAGTTGACAGTATGTTCTGTTTCTGCTGAGGGCTCTCTTCCTTGCTTATAGGTGATTTCCTTCTCGCTGTGTCCTCACTGGTCACAGAGAGAGAAAGCACTCTGTTTTTTCCTTCTCCTCTTGTAAGGACTTTGATCTCATAGAATTAGTTTTCCATCCTTATGACTTCATTTAACTTTAATAACCTCTTAAAGGCCATATTTCAAATATAGTCACACTAGAGCTTAGGACTTCAACATATGAATTTTAGGGGACACAATAGCAAGTTCCTACTAATTTTTCTATTGCAGATATTAGTTTTTACTCTGATTACAATATTTATTTTTGAACTATGTCAAAACTAATATTCCATTAAAATTCACTTTTATGCAATCCCTGAACTCACATTTCCATGGAAAGTATCAATATTGTCTTATAAATGTTTCCTTTCTTCCAAGTTGAAAGTGAGCTAACAGTAATATATATGTTTTTGAAAAATATACTTTAAGTACATTGCAATATCTTATTAATCAGCTTTTGGAACGGTTGTTACTAACTGTGAATTCTTAACTAAATATTTGTGAATTGCCAGTAATTCACTTTGTTATGATTTAGAGTGGTTCTTAATAAGCTTATTTTACCTGCCAACCTTACATATATACAGAAGATAAATTTTGACAAAGGCTGATGCAAGTTTTTTTTGATCCTCCAAAAGCACTCCCTCCACAAGCGTTGGCAATTCCAACACATCTAATTTGAATATTTTCTATGCAAGTCTTCATACAGTGATTGCTTCAGCCACTTTTTAATCATCCCACTCTCTTCTACTATTTCATAGAGTACAGCCTTGACATCCTCAAGACCACAGAACAGTATCTACTACTATAATTTACAGATTGAGTAGATAAGTTCTTATATAATTCTTTGCCAACTGCTTTCTTATACCTAAATAGGTATTGAAGAAACTGGACAGATCTGACTGAGCAACTTCACTCAACCCCAATGTCTGTTTTGAAATTCTCTTGAGCTCACTGTATTGGGCTTAGGAAAATATGGTTGCAGTATTTTCTAGGAGATATCTAAGTTCTCTACCGATATCCCTTCCATGACCCTTCCTACCTGTTTTTCACATACACGCAGGTTTAAATAAAACTTAAAAGTTAAATATATTTCTTATAGACACAGGTACAGATATATGATTTGGATCAAACATATGTTCATTATATTCACAGGCAGTTTATAATTTGGAGTTGTTTCTTTAGGACCTGATTTTATGTACCATTTAATAGATTGCTTATTATTTATGCAATCACAAAGGGTAAATCTTAACAACTTTTTTTCACCACTTTCTCAAAGTGACATAAATGACAACATATTCATGATATTTTTTCTCAGTTTAAGCAGAGAATTATTTTTCTTGCCAATTACTTTAAGCTTAACAAAATATCTACTGTGAACAGGATAAGATGGACAAATGTGATAATATTGGAATTTAGTCTGCAAAACTGTAGTTCAAAGAAATGCTAATTATGAATATATGACATTTTAAAATATCCAAAGTGAAAAATGTACTGAATTACAAAGTATGTGTAGAGGGATAAAATCAAGCTGGTTAATGAAAACAGATGTAGAGAAATGATACTGTCAAAAAAGGTAGGAGGGTGAAATGAGGACTAAGGTCTTGGATGTGAAGTCTCTGTAATAAAAATATTATCTGCCTTTTATTAACTGCCTGAAATGTACCAGGCACTCTGCCAGGCTTGTGAATACAATATTTCCATTGTTTGCAACAGCGATTATTATGAATAGGCTTTGTTATTTACCCTTACTTTTCCTTTTGTGAACTGTGTGAGCTAATGAAAACTTAGGTGACTTGCCCAAGGCTAGGCAGAACTCTGACTCAGATGAATGCTTTCCTTTCCAAGGCCATATTTCTTTCTATGCATTGTGGTACCACACACAGGAGAGTGGGAGAGCAAGAGACTCATATTTTTCACATACTAATGCAAGGGGAACACTAGGCAAGAAGAGAAGAGGACAGCAGAAAGAACAGAGTTGAGTTTTATTTAAGTGACTGTCAATTTAGCATTTGGAAAACATAGGATTTCAAAGATAAGAAATGCTATACCGCATTAGGTAATTTGACATTTGGTGGCATAATGTGATACGAGCTTTCTTAAACAAACAAAAATGCCTATCCTTATTTGAAAATGAGATGGCAATGCCAAGGTATAAAGACTGGCATACACTTTGCATTGCTAATAGTATGAGTTTTCTATAATCGCTTCAGAAAAGCTTTTTTGCATGAGCTAGTAAATCTAAAGGGGAATCATATGATAAAATCCAGATATCCATTATTAGAGAACCTCAATTCTATACAAAAAACATGCACAACATTCACAACACCATCTATGGCAGCACTGCTTGATGTGTAAAGTTACATATATATATAAAATTATAGAGATTAACAAATACAAATTATATGCTTACACATTCATTTATTTTACCGAATAGTTATATGTATATTTTTGTGCACATGTGCATGGGTGTCTATATAACATAAATGTCTAAATTAAATGGGTGCAAAATTAAATCATAAAATAATACACTTAGTCTGGCTGTAATTATGTAAAGGCTAAAACCAGAAAAAGGAAACAAATTATTGCTTGAGGATACATATGCCTATATAACAAAATTGTAAATAAGTGCTAGAAAATGATTAGTAAAACATTCATGATTAGTGGCTATCATAGAGAGTGGACAGAGAGGCAAAATCTTTGGGAAGATGCACACAGGAAACTTCAGAGGGAGGGTTTGTTTCATTTCCTAAGCTTGGTGATAGATATAGGCTTGCTCTTCTTAGTTTTATTTTTTGTTTAGTTATGGAAACCATATCTAGTCTTTGACCACTTAGTTAGTGATTGCATTGTATAAACAAACAATAAAGCAGTACTTGGAAATATTAGAGATTTAAACTGTGTCCTTAGAGAGTAACCACAGTTCCCTTTGTAAGGGCAAGTGTCTATTAATTCTTTACTCCCTTAGCAATGTTCTTTCAACACAAAATCATATGTACACACTTGCAAGAGAATAATTAGAAAGAGAACATAATTGCTGTAGGCATTTAGAAGTTAGAAGGAAAAGAATTCTCTGCTCATTATGCACTGCACTGTGTCTACCACGGTGGTTTGAGCCTGTTAACCCCTTTCATCTTGTGCACTTCATCCATGAGAAAGAGATAACAAGTGCAAAATGATATTGGGTAATGAAGCATCACTCTCTGCATGCTACCCATCACAGGGACACGTGTACAACATCAATATCAGAAACTACTAAGAAGGGAAATGGCAGGCTCTTATCTGCCACTGCAAGTGGGTTTACAAGCAGAACTAGCATTTTGACATTAGCCTATTTGATGGGGAATCTTTACACTGTGTGGTGGGAGTCTTTCTTGGAAACAAACGAGAGGCGATAACTGTTAATATCCATGTTGTAGGTTTTTATTGTTACTATTCCTATTAATATTAGTAGTTAGTGTATTTCCATGTTTAATATCAGAAAAGTCTTTCTTGAGCAGAGATTTCCAATTATAAGATAACTTACTCAAAGTATAGGTAGAGGGAATTAGTCCATTTATATCATCAAGAGGCCCCATATCCAAAATATATTTTAAAGTCACAGCCAGCTTGCCTGTTTGACCTTAACTTAAATGTTACCTTCTCAGACTTCTCTAGCTACTTTATAAATGCAAACTACCTCTTCCCTCCCCAAACCCACACTTCTATATCCATTCTCTGCTCTATTTTTCTTCTATTTAAAATATCAGATGGCTGATATATTAGTCCATTTTCACACTGCTCTAAAGAACTCCCCAAGATTGGGCAATTTAAAAAGGAAGGGGGAGGCTTAATAGACTCACAGTTCAGCATGGCTGGGGAGGCCTCAGGAAACTTACAGTGATGTCAGAAGGTGAAGCAGAAGTAAGGAAACTTCTTCACAAGGTGATAGAAAGGATAATGAATGCAGGAGAACTACCAAACACCTATAAAACCATCAGATGTCATGAGAATTTACTCACTATCATGAGACCAGCATGGGGGAAACCACTTCCATGATCAAATTACCACCACCTGGTCTCTCTCCCTTGACACATGGGGATTATGAGGATTACAATTCAAGATAAGATTTGGGTGGAGACACAAAGCCTAACCATATCAGCTAAGGAGTAGTTGATAGGATGGTGGTTTTTTTTTTTTCAGAGTAATAAAATGTTCTAAAATTGATTGTCATGATGGATGCACAAAGATGCCCAAATCTGAATAAAAAGCCAATGAATTGTACGCTTTTCAATGGTTGAATTTTATGGTCTGTGAATTATATCTTAATATATCTGTTTTTTAAAAAAAGATTATAAAGGAGCAAATCTTTTCAAGTTCTAAGTTCCAAGTTCTAGGGAATCACAGGAAAACCCCCCTCGGACACTGAAGCATTAGAATTGTAAAAATAAATACCAAGTAGACCTACAACAGTGGAAGTGAGATACAGTCCAAATGTGATAGATGGTTAAAACGTAGGTTCAGAATAATTACTGAATACTTCTAGGATAGAATTCATACATATAGTAACCATGAAATGGAAAAAGATTAAAATGTGAAGTATGGTCAAGATTATGAAGACAGGCTATAACAGACATTTTGGGTCAAGAGGGTAACAGTGTAACAGTGTAGTGAGGACTTAGGGGGAACAGATTAATTAATTCATTATGTAAATGATCTCCTGCACAGCACTTAAGAGACAATACTAACATATGACCACAGAGCACAATGGTAATCAACACTAGGGGTTTCCAGAGTTAAAATTACATGTGATATATTTAAAAAGGAGCCTTGTTCTTGACATTCTGTAGCCCTCTGTTATCAAGGACTTAGCATGTCACCAGAAGCATCAATCAAAATTGATTACATACTCTAGAACCAGGTCTTGAATGACAGGGTACTGTTTTCAGTAGCTTCATTTCAGATCGATTCCATTTGAACAACTTCAAACAATTACATTAAATGTCCTTTAGTTATTTCCTTGTTTACTATTTTCCATAATTTCATTTTGGCCTTAACCCCTAAATGCATTGAAGAATGCAGTTACAATTAAATTTTATCAGATTTAATTTTTAGACTTTATATGTCAATTGCAGAGCAGATATCAAATATAGACTTTTACAAGTACAAATTAGAAAAAATCATTTAATTAGTCAAAATATTTGAAATGTACAAGAAATTCTCACAAGTGTATGTGTTTGCAAGAAATAATTAGATAAACTTCTTCAGAGGGGAAAAAGGATTTCAAGGGAGTTAGATAGTAAAAGATGATCATCTGCAAAGAAACAGTAAGAAATTTGAATCTCCATAGAAGCCTCTCTATGTGAAAGCATTGAGACTGGTTATTTCATGGTAGAAGAGATAACATTGATTGGCTAAATAACTGTATGCCCAAATAAACAAAAGAGTGGAATCACATATTAAATATTTTATGGGGGAACACTAAACACTTGTAATATACTCACTTTCTGTAAGCCCATAAACATCCACCAAATGGGACTTAATCAAAGATACCAGAAAGAGTGATATGTCTTAGTCATATAGCCCATTTATTAATATATCCTATCAATAATAAGTAGCATTGTCATAATCATCATCATTCTCTTCACCACAGCTTGGCATGGCTATTCCCTTCTCTAAATACATTTATTACCTGGGTCACCTTGCCCAGACCCATGACTTTAAACAACTCCTAAATGTGGTTCCTAATTAATACCTTCAGCCTTGAGCTCTTCATTAAGTAACAGATTTATATAGTCATTTCTCCTTTTAACATCTTCACTTAAGTGAAACATAGGAAGATAAATATTAAATGCTTGATTACACTGCTCTTCCAAACAGCCCTGCTCTTCCTAAGGCCCACGACGGAGCCATCGTTTGTGTACTAGCTCAGATCAAAAAGGAAAAAAAAAAAACAGAATTGCTGTTGGGTTCTATTTTTTCCACAAATGCCACAATATATCTACCAGTGAGTTCTGTTGGCTCTACCTTTATAATGTATTCTGACTCTCATATCATACCTGCTGCATGCAAATCCTTTGCTTCCATTGTCATCTCACCCCTGGGGTACAGCAATAGTCTCCTAACATAGCGGCCCACTGGTAATGCAGCCTGAGCCAGAATTACTGTTTAAAAATGCAAATTAGATCTTGTCAGAAGCCTGCTTCTAATCCTCCAATAGCTTCCCATAACATCCTCTGGATAAAATCCAAAATTCATACCGTGGTCCACACGTAGCTATGTGATCATGTCGCATTCTACTTATTGAAGCTTTTGGCCCATTTTACACATGGTATTTCATTCAGATATTGCTTTTTCTTCAAGTCTCCGAGCTTATCCCTACCCTAGTGTCATCATCTACTAAATACATACATACATAAAATCTCTCCTGGGCACTTTTATCTATTCTCATGGCTTGAAATGTTATAAATATTTCCCTTCCTTCCTTCCTTCCTTCCCTGTCCTTCCCATTCCTTCTCCCTTCCCCTTCCTTCCTTCCTTCCCTGTCCTTCCCGTTCCTTCTCCCTTCCCCTTCCTTTCTTCCTTCCTTCCTTCCCTGTCCTTCCCGTTCCTTCTCCCTTCCCCTTCCTTTCTTTCTTCCTTCCTTCCCTCCCTTCCTTCCTTTCTTCTTTCTTTCTTTCTTTCTTTTCTTTCTTTCTTTCTTTTTGTTTCTTTGTTTCTTTGTTTCTTTCTTTCTTTCTCTTTCTTGCTTTCTTTCTTTTACGTATTTCTTTCTTTCTTTCTTCTTTCCTTTTTGACAGAGTCTCGCTCTTGTCACCCAGGCTGGAGTGCAATGGTGCAATCTCAGCTCACTGCAACCTCTGACTCCCAGGTTCAAGCGATTCTCCTGCCTCAGCCTCCCAAGTAGCTGGGATTACAGGCACCTGCCTCCACCGCCGGCTAATTGTGGTATTTTTAGTAGAGACAGGGTTTCACAATGTTAGCCAGGCTGGTCTCGAACTCCTAACCTTAGATGATCTGCCTGCCTCGGCCTCCCAAAGTGCTGGGATTACAGGCATGAGCCACCACATCCGGCCTCGATGTATTCTTTCTAGATTTTTTGTTTGTTTGCTTGTTTTTTTTTTGTTGTTGTTGTTGTTTTGAGACAGTTTCGCTCTTGTTGCCTAGGCTGGAGTGCAATGTCTCCATCTCGGCTCACTGCAACCCCTGCGTCCGGGTTCAAGCGGTTCTCTTGCCTCAGCCTCCCAAGTACCTTTACAGGCATGCACCACCAAGCTGGGCTAATTTTTGTATTTTTAGTAGAGATGGTGTTTCTCCATGTTGGTCAGGCTGGTCTCGAACTCCCGACCTCAGGTGATCTGCCTGCCTCAGCCTCTCAACGTGCTGGGAATACAGGCATGAGCCACTGTGCCGTGCCTCTTTCTAAGCTTTTATTTCTATCTGATACCTCTCAGAATCCAGACCACAATATTCAGTTTTCTAATAGGCAACCGTCCTTAAAAGCTCTAAAAATCTAACTTATCTACCCTCACTTCCCTTATCGTGACAAAAATTCTTTGTTTTTATTTACTGGAACTTCCATTAATCCAGATGCTTATGTCAATTGACCCTATCAATCATGAAGCATTGTGAATTTTAACTCATAAATACATCTTAACTCAATCTAGCTCTTTCCATTTTAACTGGCAATGCCCTGGACTGACTCAATATTATCTCTTGTTTAGACGATGGCAACATCTTCCTCACTGGTACTCCTACCCAAGATCTGCTATCATCCAAGCCATGCAATATGATCATTCTAAAAGGCAATGCAGATACTGTAACTTTCTTGTGAAAGAAGCTTCGGTGTCCTCCTTTACATTCACTTCCTTCTTTAAAAAAATCAAATACACTTAGCATAGCACTCAAAATATTCATTATTTAATACATGATTACTTCACTTGTAATCTCCACACCATCTTCTATTAATATCTTGATATACTGTATTATCTACATTTCTACAAGCAAGCAAGATCCATTTTGCATTTGTATATGTTGCCTTTTCTTTGAAGAAGGACCTACAATTTTAAATTATTCCTGCATTTAGAACATAACATTATTTTAAATACCCTTTTTTGTGGGTTACATGATCACCATGATCTGCCTGGAGGACAATGAATGCCCTTTTGCAGGGAAGTTAGAGTGCCTGCATTCCCTTTTAGAATAATTACATTGGGATTTGCCTTTGTTTATGCTGTCGCATCTCTCACCACAATTCCCTTCCTCCAGCCACACTGATATCTTTAAACATGCTCCCCATATGGGAATCAGAATTTTAACTAAGTCTGACCATAAGTGTGTATTCTTCATATGACTTAATTAAACTTAATTACTTCTATACAGAACATTATAGTGATGATGAATATATCAATCATGGAGACACAGAGCATCACTTTAGAAGTCTCTCAAGTGTTGCTGTGGTGGAAGAGAAGTCAAACAAATGCCGATTTGGGACTACCACTGAGACCTCAATCAAAGTAAAATTTATTTATTTATTTTTGTTGTTAAATGTTGGGGCTTAGTGTAAGCCCTCTTCTGAGGGATTTGTATATATATGTGATTATTTTCGTAGTCCATGGCTCTTTTAGATTTTATGGATTTTTTGTGATAAGGTGGTTATATTTCAAGAGTTTGTTACATTATAATAATCAAATTGTTACATTTTACACACATGTTCTGCATTATTTTGTGCTAAGATTCTGGATTTTATAAGGTCTTGCAATTTGGAGGCAAGAAAGCTGGTTCAGATTGAATATTTATCTTTAAAAAGGTGTTCAAGCCACTCACTTTAAAAATATGCAAAAGACATGAATAGACATTTACAATTGAAAATTTCCAAATGGCTAGTAAGAATATGAATATGTGACTTACATCATTGAAACATCAAGAGAACACAAATTAAGACAAAAAGGAGATATCACTGTATGAGCATAGACATAGTGGAGATACAAATTATTTAAAATGGCAGTCAACATCAAATGTTAGGAAATATATGAGTGGCTGTAACTTGAACAAATTGATAGTGGATATGTAAATTGATTTAAAAAAATTTCTTAGTGAAAATATTTGGCAGTGTCTACCAAAGTTAATCATATGTCTACCTTGTGGACTTAGTAATTTCACTCTTAGTACAAACTCAGGAGTATTACTCATGTATGTGCCACAAAAAGACATATTAAAATGTCCATAAATGTTTTCTTTATAATTATCAAAACTAGAAACAATAAAAAATATCCATTAATAGTAGACAGAATAAATACATTTTTATCTTCTTTGTGTGTGTGTTGGAGAGAGAGAAAGAGAGAGACAGGGCCTTGCTCTGTTGCTCAGGCTGGAGTGTGTGACACGAACACAGCTCAGTGCAGCCTTGACCTCCTGGGTTCATGTGATCCTCCTGCCTCAGCCTCCTGAGTAGCTGGGATCATAGGCACGAGATTCTTCCACCTCAGTCTCCCAAAATGCTGGCTTTACAGGTATGAGCCACCATGCCTGCCCACATTTTTATATTCAGAAATGATGCATTACTACCTAGGGTTAAAATAATTGAACTATTTCTAGATGAAACAATGTAGATTAAACTATTAAGTGAAATTGCCAGAGAAAAAAGATGATGTTCTCAGGATTCTATTTACGTGAAATGCACAAACGTGACAAAAAACAAAATCATAATAGTGGTATTGGGAGGAAGGGGATGTGTAAGCATTGATTGGAAATGGGTACGAGGATGCTTCGCTTCAGAGATGTAGTAGCTCTTGTCGCAATCTGGAGGCTGATTATGTGAGTATATACTTAGACAAAAATCATCAGGGCTTCATTTAGGATATATGCAATTTATTATTTATAAATTAAACTTTGATAATATTTTACATTAAAACAAAACAAAACAAAACAAAAAACAAAGCTCTTCTAAGGCACAGAAATCATTGGTTTTTCTTACGACACACAATTTACATTACTTACTACTGAAGCCCTCCGTGGCTTCCAGTTAATTACCACAGGTGCATGAATTTTTATTACTCTATTATTCACAGTATTATGATTTAGCTAGTCCACATTTTTAGAACTAATTTGATAGGGAAATATTTCTATGGTGACATTTATCACTAACAAATGAATTATAATTCAAAATTTATACCTAATTCTTTATAACAGAATTTCCCAAAGTATAAACTCACGTGCTTTCAAAATAAGGCAAATTTAAAATGAGGCGGAAAGAAAATAATAATTTGGGCATGAAGAGTAATGACAATTGAAGTAAAAGAAAGTAAGAAGCTTTATGTCCAATTTTTCTTTTAACTTCTCCATCAAGTACAATCCATAAAGTACAATAACATTTCTATTTAAAAGAGAGGACATTGATTAAACATAACTCAGAAGAGTATGTATTACTTACAAATTAGAAAAGCAATCAATAAAAGCTCATGATGGCTAAGGAGTTAAACAAAGATGCGGCTTCATTAAATATATTCAAATCTCCTGGTCTGAAAATGAAAATAACAAAGAAAACACCTAGTATTTCAGTGTAGTGATAGCTTTTGCATATGAATCACCTGATCTGTCACTGAGTTAAGTAGTAATTTGTGGGCAAAGTTTTTGTTTTATGAATTATGCTAGTTTTCCATGGCTATCATAACAAATTACCATAAGCCTGGTGACAACAATGCAAATTTATTGTCTAAACATTCTGGAGGGGAAAAGACCAAAATGGATCTTACAGTGTTCATATAAAATACCCATATATACACAATTCTACACCTGTAAATTAGGTGTTTTGAACGACTGTGATAAAGCAAACATAACTTATCTGTATATTCATTCTGCATACATAATTTTAGTTTATAATTCTAATGTATAAAGGTATATATTTTCTTCTATGCTATGTGCATAAAAGTTGATCTATTATAGATATTTATTTAAATTAAATTTAAATTACAAGTCTGACTAAAAGGGAGCTTGATAAGAAATCACCTCTATTAGAAGAAGGGCTTTTATTCTGGAACAAATAAAGAATTCCTCACCAATCCTACATTTTACTTTTTGCTTGTCTTGGGGGTAATACAAAGGCAACAAATAAAATAATCCCAGCTGATCATTGTCTGAAGAAAGAAGACACCCTCCTACATAAGAAATAACCATCACGTTTCAAGAGGTCGAGTGACTCTTTATCGCCCAACCTCTTAATAAAATTCCTTCCATGCTCTGTCAAGATCTGGTGAATAAGTCAGAGGCAGAGATAAACCAAACAAAATCTTGCAATGTAGCAAAAGTGAGAACTGCTTTTCTCCATAAATTAGGTACATTTCACTGAAGGAAATAGTCTTCCATCATACTACTACTTTCGTCAAGGCAAAGGCTTATAGGGGGGGATGTATTTTATTTTTCATTTAGAGTTCAACAGTACAAATTTATCTCTATCAATAAAATTGTCAATTGCAGTAACAAGTAAATTTATCTAGCTGTTTTAGTACCCAATGGGACCATTTTCATGTTAAGGCCTGGAATTAAAACAGCAGTAGAAATAAAAACAAGATGATGGATTTAAAGAAAGATCTAAATCTGTTGAATTTTCTTTGTGTCCATTAAGAAACAGATGTTTTCCATATGTTGAATAGAAGAAACCTCAGCCACATTTTAATTATATTGTTTGAAGTAGAAGTTTGATAGTATTTATACATGGAAAATAAAAAAAACAGGGTTTGGGAATGTGATTTTGTACCTAGTCTTCCCCTGCTGCTTAGAGAAATTACCTCTATCTCGAAGCTTGGATTACTATATGCAGTTAGGAGATATAATACCTGTCTCAGTGTTGTATGAAAAATATTTAGCAAATAAAATAATACTGTGATAATGTGGATTTTATATAGTGTTAATGAAATCAATTTTTATACTTGGGAAATTTTTCCTGTTAGATTTGGTATCTATTTGCATACATTATATGAATCACTCAGCTAGAATCAAAGTCATACCTATGTACTGTGCACATATATATAATTCTTTATAATTTAAAAAATAAACAAAAACATTGCTTGAATGGAGAAAAACACTTGAATACCACTTTATCACTTTGAGCATTTTCATCAAATGCTAACATTTGAGTGCAATTTGTTTTATCATAGTTTTTTTCTCTCTCTCTCGTGCATACATACACACATATACATATATAGGTACACACACATCTGATCCCTGTATATATACACACATACATATGTCTATACACATACACACAGTTTTATAGAATTACTAAAATTTAAGTTGCAGCCATTTTTCTCTTTTATTTCTAAGTATTTCAATGAATTTTCTAAAAATAGAATTATTTTATATCAACAAAATGGATTTATGAAAATCAGGAAATTTAACATATATAGAATATGACTATCTAAGTCAAAATCAATATTGAAATTTTATCATATGTTCAATCATGTTCTTATAATACTTTATTACTGGCTAGGATCTAGTCCAGTATAAATGTGAAAAAAATGCATTGGAGTTGAATGCATTCACATTTCATTTCTTTCATGCTTTCAAGGAAAATAATTAAAATATTAAATACATTTTTGAAAGCATTGAAAAGCATGGAGATATTTGGAGTTTATTTTATAACCACTCACACCAAAACTGGATGAACAAAGCAAGCATGTATTTATATGCAAACACACATATGCTAGAAACCCAAAACACACTCAAAATATATTCTGGGAATTTTCTCTATTTCAAGGTTACTCTAACTACAACTTGGCTTAGACCCAGTTAGTTATGACTATGCATTGGTTATTAAATGATAGTGCATGCTATATAACAGGACAAGAATTTATATGCCTCACTACATTAAAATTCCAACGTGAAGAGATTAATACCTGACTGACAATAATTACTACGTTTAATCTCTCTTATCGGTCTGTGTTGAAAATTATACATATTAGCTCCACTACATATTCACCAAGTTTGTCCTCCTGGACTCGAGGGATCCTCTCGTCTCAGCCCCCGGAGTAGCTGTGACTACAGGCATGCATCACCACGCCCAGCTAATTTTTCATTTTTTAATCTTTGTAAAGATGAAGTCTCACCATGTTGCACAGGCTGGTCTTGAAGTTCTGGGCTCAAGTAATCTCCCTGCCTCCACCTCCCAAAATGCTGGGATTACAGGCATGAGCCACTGCCTGGCCCAGGGTTTTATTCATGACTTTAATTTTGAAACATATTTTGTGCTTCATTTACTCAATAATTTAAATACAATATTTCCATCTAGATATTTTTTAATTGTGAGTTTTTAAAGAATTCATGATTTGCAATGATTTTAGCCCTTAAAAATTAAATATAATATTGATGTAGTAATAACTATTTAACATTCATTGATTAAAAACACTTTGCTTTTTCAGGGTGAGAACAAACCCACAAACAAAAAACAAACAGCTCAAAGTTTTCATTAGATTAAGGACTTGAGGAATCTGAGATGGGTAACTTTCTAAATTCTTTGTAATTACATCTCTGTAGATCTTGCATTAGAATGTGGATTTCGGCTTCCCAGTAGAGCCTGATACTTCTAATGTGCAATTAGAGGAAGCAAAGAAACCTTATTTATACAAATAGAAAGCTAATGAGATGGTACAATCAATGAGAATACTTGATCATTTCAGAGCTTCAACCACAGAGTCTTCCACCACTTAATCTAACACCTAACAAAGAATTAGCTGCAGCCAAGTGAATATCCTGAACAAAATTAGCTTCTCTCTTGTTTGTCTTTATGATCTGGGTTGAATACAAGAACCTCATTATCAGTGCCTAGCCCTTTTGAAAAATCCTTTGTTTTGTTTTCTTTAAATAATTTAGCAGGAATTATTCTATTTAGCACTACTCCAATGCAGACGTTTTAGAAAATTCTCAAATAAACATATTCTTTCTGCGTACAGAGACTATTTTTTAGGAAATATTATATTTCATTGTAAATTATTGACCTTAAAAAGGTAAACTTTTTATTAGTAAGCTTTTTAACCTTAAAATTTATTTCAGATAGATTTTGCTTTTAAGTTTCTTACCTTAAAATTTTTCAATGGTAAGATTTTTACCATAAAAATAATCCTGAAAGATTTTGCTTTACATATGCCCTAGTCATCAATTTAAGATTGTTAAATAAATTTCAGAAATCATGTAACACCATTCCTCAATTTACAGATCAAAGAAACAAGATATTTAGGCCACTCTGCCATTTACTGTAAGAAAGCTGGCCAGAAATTAGATTCGTAGACTCTTAGGACAGGCTCTTCCACAAAAGCATGCTACCTCCCCTCACATCTTTCCCTAAACACAATTACTAGTATTAGTAAATTGCTTGAATGTATACAAATAAGAAATAAGCATTTTTAAAAATTATATTTAATAAGAATCATTAATTCACAATTAAAGGGTGAATATACCATAATTCTTTGTTTCTTTGTTTCTACACATGAGTTTATTTAGATTGATCCTTTGTATAGGTTTTGAAAAAACTTGAAAAGCACCACAGAATCAAGTGTGCACTGAACTCTAAGTAGCAACATGACTAGAGAACTCGCAGTGAGGATACTACCTAATCATACCAAAAAGTTCCATTATTGTCTGCAGTATGCACTCCTCTGGTTTAAGAAATGAGATATTACCTTTTAAATATTAAAACTTATGTTCAAGGAATGTGAAACCTAAACCATTATTTTTACCTAGAAGGAAATTTTCATTTAGGCTCAGGGAAAATCAGACCCCAAGGAAGTTATGGCATATATATAACAAAGTTTAATTGAGAAAAGATAAATTCAGGTCTAGGAAGTGGAGTGGAGGCTGCCTGGACAACTTCATATGAAAGAATCATGCAGATAAAGGAAACTGGGAAATGTGGTTTGGTAGCAATGGAAGATGCAGTCAAGGAGTCATACGGAACAAAAAGGAAGATGGACATTAACACATATGCAATGAGTCCCATCAAAAGAAACAGCAACAGATTTTGGCCAACACTTTGTTAAAAAATAAGCCAAACTGCCATAAACAGGAAAAATAAACACAATCACTTATCTACATTAACACTTCATTTGTATGGCAACGGCATAAAGCCAGGATATAAATAGATTACTTGAATGCTGTCAATTAGTAGTAAGCCTTAAAAAATTTTTTTGATGAAATTTGTTGTCAGCTGTTGCATTCCCTAAAGATGTAGTTCTGGCACAGGATTTTAACATCGTTTCAGTGGGAAGTATTTGCTAATATATTGCAAGTGGCTTGCTGGGCAAAGAAGGGAAAACAACCCTGATTGCTGACAATATTTACATAATTATAACTAGTCAGCCAGTCACTCCTCCCCAACAGTGAAGGCTGAGGTTCTAAAACTCTTTGCAAGGGCAAGGAAAACAACAACAACTCATTTTCTCTGCTCTAAATTTTACCAATTATAGATCCCTCTCCCATTAATAAATAACATGGAGTTTATAATAATATTAACTATCCTAACATATTTGTAAACCTGGCTTTAGGGGTTTACTCTGTAAATCTAGCCAGAGAAATTATAAATATAGAAATGTTTTATGCAAATATATGCTCATTTCAACTTTATGATAATGAAAAGCTGAAGATAAAACTAAACCAAAAATTGTAGCATATTTAAACTATGAGAACCAGTTAAAAGACAAATGTAAGAAATGAAAGGAAATGATGTCTCTCAAAGGATCATAAATATTCCAGATACCTTTTATCTAATCATTTATCTTGTGCAACAAAATCTCACATCATGCTCCCGAGGAGGACTACCTTAGTATTAGTCATTCCATTTTACAAATGAAGCAGCTAGTTCTCACAGCAATCAAAGATAAAAATCATTCAACCAGGAGTGATGGAAAACCGTTTATAGCCTAAAAACCCACACATCATTATTTTTGCAGTTTACTTTCATATTGCTGAATATTGTTTATCATCTATTTAAACATCCTTTATGTTGCCATAGGCTATTATGAAAAATAGAAAATAATTCACATACTTTAGTTTGTAAATTACTCTTTACAAACAAAAGTACTTATCTTGAAAATGACTTCAGTGCCTCATGTGAGCTGAATGTAATAATGCTTCATTACATTTTAATAAACTTGGCTGATTTAAAATATTCAGTAAAATGACAGTTTATCACCCACTTTAATGTCATAAAATCTTTGTAGCTTTCTTTAAACTTTAGTACATAGTTCTGTTAAAGTGTTCATTTCATTTATGCAGATTTTTGGATGATACATAATGAGCCATGATATAAGAATTATTTTACAATAACAATTATATATAAAATCTCAAAGTAATTGATTAGTTACTCTTTTTGGTCAAATTTTGACTTTTTTAACCACTTTTTTTTTAACTAAGGGAATTTCTTTCACATGGCTTTATGAACTTGTATAAGTCACACAAATTTCCTGGTGTTAGATATTTTTATTTTTGAAAAGGAGGTAGAACTCTAGTACATAAAGTCCTTTTATTATGCAGATTACCGTGTATTAACATAATGGTAAAAGATATTTAAATATAATTCAAATATTTAATGGATTATCAAATGTCAACAATAGGTCTTTTGTTTTGAATTCACATAATACATCTCTAACATACACAGCATGACTGTAGCATTTGTTTCGTAAACAAGAAGCAATTATTAATAACAGAGATAGCAATGTTGTATTAGTCCATCTGAATACTGTTATACAGAATTGCCCGATACTGGGTAATTTATAAAGGAAAGAGGTTTAAATGACTCACATTCAGCATGGCTGGGGATACCTCAGGAAACTTACTATCTAGGAAGAAGGTGAAGGGGAAGCAAGGTACCTTTTTCACAAGGCAGCAGGAAGGAGAAGTGCCAAGCGAAGGGGAGAAAAGCCCCTTTTAAACTATCAGATCTTGCGAGAATTCACTCACTGTCACGAGAAGAGCATGGGGAAAACTGCCCCTGTGATTCAATTATCTCCACCTGATCTCACCCTTGACTCGTAGGGATTATGGGGATTGCAATTCAAGGTGAGCTTTGGGTGAGGACACAAAGCCTAACTATATCAAATGTTTATAAGCAAATACTGTATATTTCTTACAATACTAGTAGTAATAGTAATTAGGTGTTTCCTGTGTTCACTTAAATTCTCTGTTAAACCATCACAATAACTACGTAAGGTTGTTATACCCATTCTACATATGGGAAAATCAAGTAACGGACAGGTTAAGTAATTTGTCCAAGGTTATAGACGTAGATTTCAAAACCAGGCAGCTCAAATCAGTATTGTACACATACTACTATGAATTCAGCAACAATTTATTATATTTCATTTGAATTTGAATTTGATTTCAATGTAGCAAAATGTCTCTGCTACATTGAAATGCCAATATAATTCAAATAATAGTTTTAGGTTTTGTTTGTTTATTTGTTTTATGAATGGGGTCTCACTATATTGCCCAGGAGTGCAGTGGCTATTCACAGGCATGATCATAAATTACTATGGTCTCAAACTCCTGGACTCAAGTAATCCTCCCTCCTCAGCCTCTTGAGTATCTGGAATTATAGGTGTGCACCAATGTGCTCAGCAGAACAGTGTTTTTGAACTCAAAATCCTTCAGTGAAACTATGGACAATAGTATAGAATCGCTAAAAATAAACCATGGCCTGCTTCCCATCACCATCTTCTACCAGCACAGCTCCTGGCCTCACAAAGAGGATGCCTTTGTATGTTCTCAATATATTGATTGTATATGTTTTCATCAAGCATCTCATAGGAATGCAATTTTCTAGCTGAAATTTTTTTTCCCAAAATCTATGGGAGAAGGATTTAAGAGACTTAAGGGGAGCAAAAACTGGAGGAAAGTGAATTATATCAAATAGGATGCAGATGGCATACTAATCACAGAAGGAAAACAAAGTAATAATATTGCAGAGAAAGAAATATCTAATGAGCTTCACAGTTGTTTGTGTGTGCCATGCTATATACATGGTTTTCCACTTATTACAGAATCATTCTTGAGAGCATTTCTAATGTTTAAACCTTCCTCATCTTAGTAAAAACTTTCTTATATTCTTATTGAATATCTTCTTTTCAGATACATCTCCCTCGGCCTCCATCCCACTGATAAATGACTTCTTCACATGAAGGCAACTTTTTAATTCAAATTCCTGAATTTCATAAACATATTTTACTTTATTTCATTCATCTTCCATCTTTATTGGTAGCTGTTGACCATCCAAATTATTTCCTTTCCACAAACTATTTGTCTCTGGCCCAACAGTGCTATCTTTCAGAAAGCCCTTTCCCAGTCTTCACTCCTTTTTCTTCTTCCAAGCAGTTATTTAATGTTGAGATTTCTCATGGTGAAATGTTGAAGCTATTTCTTTTTTTTTCTTATGCAATCTCCTTAGGTAATAGCATCTTCCCACTTGACTCAATGTTAAACCTCCAGCCCAGACGCTTTCTGCCTCATATATCCAATTGCATACTTCACATTCCTACTCCGATGTCTTAAAGATACCTCAAGGGCAACATCTCAAGAATAACCCCATATCAATCCTGCCAAACATGTTATTTATTCACTCTTATTTACCTCAGTAAATGGACCCAATTCCAATGCAGTTGACAAATCTCACACTTGAGACTAATTTGAACACCCTTTTTTAAGTCACCACCTATGTCTAATCTATTCTCACAGTCTGGCAATTTTATGTTTGTGTAAGATTATGGGATTTCTGTATCTCTCTATCTTTTTTTTTTTTTTTTTTTGTTTTTGAGACGGAGTCTGTCTCTGACGCCCAGGCTGGAGTGCAGTGGCACGATCTCGGCTCACTGCAAGCTCCGCCTCCCGGGTTCACGCCATTCTCCTGCCTCAGCCTCCCGAGTAGCTGGGACTACAGGCGCCCGCCACTACGCCCGGCTAATTTTTGTATTTTTTTAGTAGAGACGGGGTTTCACCGTGTTAGCCAGGGTGGTCTCGATCTCCTGACCTCGTGATCCGCCCACCTCGGCCTCCCAAAGTGCTGGGATTACAGGCTTGAGCCACCGCGCCCGGCCCTCTCTATCTTACCAGTCCCATTCTTAGCTAACATCAACCATTTTTTAATTAACCTACTGCAAGAGTCCCGTAATTTGGTTCTTTCTTAATTGATTCTTACTTACCTTCAATGTATTCAACAAACGCCACCAAGGGTGACATTTTTATGACATTGTGTCCATAAAAACTACCTATAATCCTTCAATGGCAAATTAATATTATGTGCATTATAGCTGTATATATGTGTATGCAAACTAAATTGATGTTTTATAAAAGTTATAAAAACAATCTGTGGTTTTCTCTAGTTCTTAAAGAGAGAAAATAGAATGCATAATATAACCTATAAGACCTTGCATATTTTGTTCTTATATCTGACTCTAACTCCCTCTGAACTTCTACCCCAATTTGCGCTTTGGCTAATATCCATTCTGTTCAGTGGCTTTGCTATGCCCCTCCTCTATTCCTATATCAGGATCCTTGCACACATTAGTCCTTCTACACAGAATGTGTAAGAGGTACTTAAGAATTAAGTAATGAGCACTTTCTTTGTGAACACAGACTTTTGCATTTGTGAATTCAGAATAAATTATGGTCCCCAAATTTCTTCTTTTTTCTTCTTTAATTTCTGCATTCTAGTCTTTGTGTGTTGAGAGCTGAAAGTTATAACCACCTAATTATTTAGTGTCCAGCTCTTGGTAGAGATGGTAGTCCCTCTCTGCAGCTGGTTGTCCCGTCATTTCCTCAGATCTCAGCAGAGATGGTAGCTCCTTCTTGCTAGACAGGTCACCCCAGTGAGTGTCCAGCTCTCCACAGACAGGGTAGAATATTAGAATTGTATTCTAAGTCAAATCAGTGACTTGGGTGAGGGGCTCAATGTGAGACTCTTTGGAAATCAAATTTACACCATAAATAGTATGGAATGAGCAGCCTGCTGGCCTGGGCACTGGACCTCCTTTGGTCTACTTCCTGACACTGGAGGCTGTGTGTGTTCAGACTTATTTATTCTGATTTGCACTACTATGGATTCTGCTTTAAAAGTCTAAGTGATACTAAACAATTAGGTGGTTATAAATAGTTACCTTCTTAGCTGGATGAGTGCTAGGATGTCCAGAATGAATAGATTTTTATCCAGCCCTCCAGTGTAATGGTTAAAAGCTTCATGGAATTTTAAGAATCTATTCACTTATTTGCTCTGAAGATTTGAAGTATGTTGTAAGGATAAATATGCCCCATGTCTGATTTACATATTGACAATAATCACTGCCAGTAATTCACTTCATTTGCTTTGGCTTTTATTCCCACTTAAATGTACCTTTAGGTCGTATCAAGAAATTGGAAATAAATGTGCTTAATATCAAAGTGATGATTTCACTCTTTGTATTATAAGGAGGGAAAAAACATTTAGATCATATAAAGAAAAGAAAAACATAATTCCTCAAATCATCCATGATTTTATAAAAGCCATAATGGCTCAGCAAATATGAAAACACCACTTTGTCATTTTTTCAATAAAAATTGAACATTTCCCTCTGTATTCCTCATTTAAATTGTGCTACTTAGTCTTTCTAATTTATTTTATTATCAGCTTATACTTTTTATTATAGAAAAAGGAAATCTTCTAATCTTTCTAACTCTAGTTCTATAATTAAAGTTTTATAAAAATCTCATTGAAGAAACAATGTCCACTATTTGGGTGATGGGTACACTAGAAGCCCAACCCCACCATACACATGTAATAAGTAACAAAAAAGCACATGTGCACCTGAATCTAAAATAAAAAATTAAAAGGAATTACTTTCTCTTTTTTTAAATCTCTTTTGTTATGTGGTCATAATGTGTTTTCCATTGCTTATAATAGAATACCTGAAACTGGATAAAGAAAAGGAATTTATTTCTCATAATTATGGAGGCTGAGAAGTCCAAGGTTGAGGATCTGCATCTGGTGGGGGCCTTCCTGCTGATGGAGACTCTCTGCAGAGTTCTGAGGTGGTGCAGGGCATCATGTGGTGAGGGTGGTTGAGTGTGCTAGTTTGGATCTCTCTTCCTCTTCTTTTAAAGTCATCAGTCTCTCTCTTATGGTAACCCATTAATCCAGTAACCCATTAATCTGTGAATGTGAGCAGAGCCTTCATGATTTAACCCAACCTCTCAATACTGCCACATTGGGGAATAAGTTTCAACATGAGCTTTGAAAGGGACATTCAAATCATAGCAGCTGTGTCTGTTGATTTATCTGTCTTTTTCTATTGGTCATCTCAGCTGTATCTCCACCCTTTTATCTCTTCTCCTCCCTCCTCCTCTCCTCTTTTTTCAACTCCTCTCTCTTTATCTCTCTTGGTCTCTCTCTTCTCTCTCTCTCTCTCTTATAGTTTGATTTTGTATTCAGGTTTAAGTTACCTCCATATTTTTCAATACTGCAAGTATTTACTTTCACTTGAGGCACCAGGATTCATTACTGGTATAGGTCTTCAAATGTGTTATCATAACACTTGCTCTTTTCCTCTGGCTGATGAAAATAAAATTACATTTTTTTTTCCTTTAGCCATTTTTCATCAAAAATCCATTCTCAAATACAGCATACTAATATACTTTCTCCTTAAACAGATCTGTGGATGGGTCAAAACACAGTTAATTTTGCAGCCTGTAATATGAAACTTCAACCCAGGAACTGTTGCTAGAAGAATAAAGAAAAATTGTTTATTTTCTCATTTGAAGCTGAAGGAAACACTAACAGTTTTAAAAGATTAAACATACATATCCAAATTCAAAATTAGAGATACTGTAAGTGTAGAACTGGCCAGCGAGATGACTTCTGGGAAAAGAGAAAGAATATGTATTTGTGGCAGACACAGCTAGTTGCCCATCCAATACATATTCTCCCCTTCTTGCTTAATAAGGAAGGACAGGCGTGGTAACATATGCAACCAAAAGGCTACGTTTCCTGGCTTTTCTTGCAACTAAAGGTGGCCATGTGACCTAGATTTGACCAATGAAATGTAAGCAGAAGTCACTGGGTCTTGTTCTGTCTAAATGGCAGACTTGGTCTGCATGAACTTTTGTCATTTGTCCCTTGTATCACCTGCAGATATATGGCAATGAAGATTTCATACCGTGGAACTAACTTTAAGGAAAAACTTTGCTGGTCCTTCATTTTAATGTGTAGCCCAGCACCAAAACTGGATCACCACACACTTCCAAATTTCTGCTTATATGAGCAAAATACATTCTCTATTGTTTCAGCAACTGTGATTTCTGTTTCATGTTATGAGCAGCTGAGCTTATTTCTAACTTTCAGTAATTATGCTATGGCACAGAAATAGGTCAAAACTATGAAGTAGTGAGTAGACTGTACATTATAAATCTGGTTATATCACTTCCATAATATTTTCATGCATTGATTTTCACTCTTAATTAAGCCATTTTTCTTAGTCTTTTTTTATTATGACCACCAGCCAAAATGTATGTAACAGGAGTTAAGCAAAAGGAAAAAAGGTTGAAAAGAAAGGAGACATTGGTGGGTGGCCCTGATAGAAAAGTCCAGGAGTGCTTTTCTAAGATGCCATACTTTAAGACTTTAATCAAGATGTAGACCCAGCAGCTTTTTGTTTATTTGTTTGTTTGTTTGTTTTAGAGAGAGAGACTTGCTATGTTGTTGCCCAGGCTGGTCTCAAACTCCTGGCCTCAAGCATTCCCACTACCTCAGCCTCCCAAAGCACTGGGATTACAAGTGTGATCCACCATGCCCAGACCCAGTAGTTCTTTAAAGCCTGTTTTCATCGGAATAAGATTTTATGATTACAAAAGTATCATATTTTTAAATAACATTAAGAATATAGAGATAAGAATAAAACAGAAAGCTGCCTCTACCACCTGCAGATAACCACTGTTCTCTTCTTAGATTATAAATTCCTTCTAGCTCACTTCTATATATTTCTATATATTATAATGTGCCATTTAAAAATACCAATAACATTTAATAGTGGAAATTACTTAATCATATTGATATATACCACAGGAGGTTATTAAACTCTTATATTTTCAGAAATTACATGCTTTACTGGCTATTTCTATAATAAATATTACTAAGGCAGAGTTCATAAGTATTTCCTTGGTATAAATTCCATGTGAACTATACATATTTTAAAGGTTTTTATATATTTTAAAAATAAACTCTAGACTTTTTATTTGCACTTTCCTCAGTAACGTAGGTGTTTGGTTCCTCCCATTTTTCATTTCAGCAGATTAGGTGTCGTTCAAAATGAAAATTGCCAATCTTACTAATAAAATGTAATCTTTATTTTGCATCGTAGCAGGTTTTATTTTTTTTCTTTTAAAAATTCTTCTGGTCACCTTCCACTACAGGAATTATAATACTGAAATGCATATCTAAAATTAATGTACTTATTTCTCTATTAGTTAAGATAGGGTTACTACTATAATATGAAATATATGTGTGCATATATATATATATATAATGACAAAACTATAACAGAACTTTAGTTTTTATTCACAAATAATTTCTTTTTTATAACTTTACTGAGGAAAAATTGATACAAATAAGTGCATATATTTAATGTATACAATTTCACTAGTTTGGACATACTAATACACCCATGACACCACCACCATAATCAATGTAATAAACACATTCAACATTCCTCAAAATTTCCTTTTATCTCTTTGCTCTGTGTGTGTGTGTAGAGTAGTAACCTTCCCTTGAGATCTAACTGCTTAAATTTTTAAGTGTACAAGGCTGTATTGCACTATGCTGAACAGCAGATCTCCAGAACTAATTTGTTCTAAACACCAAATATACAGACAGTAGATGGAAAATACAGTAGGTCAGAGATTCTCACCCTCAGTACTACTGGCACTTGGAATAGGGTATTCTTTCTTGTGGGGATAGTCCTGCTTAGTGTAAAATATTTAGCAGCATCACTGACTTCTACTAAATGCAAGTAGTTTACTCCCCAACATGAAAATCCAAAATTTCTTTGGATGTTGCCATGTATCCCACAGGGAACAAAATTGCTGGAACAAGTGGTTCCAGCAATTGGGAACCACTTGGACAGAAGAAAGTGTTTATAGGCCAAGATTGGAAACAGTGCTTATCATTCAGCTTAGAATCCACTGGCTAAAATTCAGCCATGCAGCCACATCAACATAAAGAGATGCTGGGAAAGATAAGCCAACTGTGAACAAAGGGAACAGTGGAAAAGTGGCCAATAACAAATACTCTAGGCAACTATTACACAACTTTATTACTTTTCTCATTTTTTTTTTCCTTTTTGGGGGTGGGGTAACTGTTGACATTTCTTAGGAATAGAAACATATTTTCTGCTTTGTTTTAATTTTGCCAGAATCATTACCTCAGTCACCTTTAAAGGCTCCACCTAAAATACTTTCTCTATATTATACCATCTTTACTGAAGCATTTATATATATGAAATATATATAAATATACGTAAAATATATATAATAAATATATATATTTATTCTTTATATATAATATAAATAATTATATATAATATATTATTATATATAAATATATATTATTTTATATATAAATATATATTTATTATATATATTATATATATGTATAGGATATTTATATAGGAAGTGCCATCTCTTTGTCTCCCAACAAACAAAGCTAGCAAATCAACTACTGTTGAGTTTTAAAATTTTCATGCTATCAACTGTTGGCCATTAATCTGCATATTATCATAACCAAGAGTATAAATGTAGGGCTTTGGTTTGAATGTGTCCTCCAGAGGTTTGTGTGCTGGAAAGTTAATTGCTGTTGTAATAGTATTAAGAGGTAGGATTGTAAAGAGATGATTAGGCCAGGATGACTTTGCTCTCATGAAGGGATTAATGCCATTATGGGGAGTTGGTTAGTTATCTTGGGACTAGATTTACGATAAGAGGATGAATCCAACTTGATGTTCTCTTTTTGTCTCCTGTGCTTGCTTCCACCATCCACCCTTCTGCCATGGGATGATTCTCCCTGGATGCTGTCCCCATGCTCTTGGACTTCTCAGCCTCCAGAATTGTGAGCAAAATAGACTTATTTTCTTTATAAATTACCTAGTCTGTGGTATTTTGTTAAAGCATCAGAAAATTAAATAAGATAGGTGGATAAAGTTTCTCAGTCACATGTTGGAAGCCAGATGCATGAGAATGGAAATGATCCAATCAAAGTCAAGTTTAAATTGGCAGTGTTTGAATTTTGCATATTCCTCTATTCTCTTATTGAAATACAATGTAATTGTATGTTCTATTTCTAAGCATATGAATAAAGTCTAAATTTATTTTCCTAGTTATTTAAGTGTTCAAATACCTTGCATCATATTTTATGCCTAATGTCATTGCTGAGCGCTGCCTAAACTCCTTACCTTTAATTTCTTAATTGCTGTAATCTCTATCTTTCTGATTTGGGGCATTTTTCTTTTCATTTTTTTTCTCTTTTGGATCTTTCATATTTAATATACTCCTTGTAACAAAAGTCAATTATCAGTACTCCAACTCTTATTGTGATACCTCCAGTCTTTCTGAAGTCATAAGTGTATTTACAGTGCATTATGAAACACATAATTGATTTTATACTGTCAGTTGGATGATTACTTTTTAAGAACATTTCATAGAGTTTGCATTAAAACAAACTTGATTATTTTTTAAACAAACATGATTATATTGTTCCCAAATGCCTATTACAATTTTAAGTAGAGTAACCACTTTTGGCAAAACAAAGGTTCTTCCTGGAATACTTAATGAATATAAACTATTTGCACTTAATTATTTTCTTGGTTTGTAAAAGATTGTGGTCTTAAATAGCTTGTCCTGGTTAATATACTTCCTGTGCTGTTGCTTGCTTGATTAATGTTAACTTTGCATCTTTTCATTTCTTCATTGTATAATGGTAAATTTTGTATCCTGGAGCAATCTTAACACAGATTTTTTATTAATGTACTTTTAATTAAATTGATTTTACTACAATAATAGGTCTTGCATAGTTTTTGCTTATTTCTAATGATAAGGATATTTACCTAAGCTCACTAGTTCTCCTCATACCACAGATAATTAAGTGTATTTATATGTGGTGCCTTCAAAAATAATTTATGTAAGTGAATATGAACTCAGTCTTCAGAGTTCTTGCATCACCTCCCTATCAATGAACTTGAGTGCTTACTCATAAAGATAATTTTAAAGATTAATGGTAATAAGGAAAAATAGTTACTGTATACTTACATTCTAGTGAAACTGATGACAAAAAGGTCAATTACATTTTAGATAACTCTAAATAGTACACTTAATTGAGCAAGTAAGTTCACAAAAAATAAAGAAAAATCTAAGATCTTTTAGAGTAGAATCTCCTTATGCAATACCAAGTCTGTGACAACACGTCTAGGTAACAGATGACTATTTTGAGAAGTTTTCTCCTTGTAGAGGCACTACAAAAATAACAGAACAATTCTGTGTGCTTATAAGATCCAGAACTGTTATAAGGGCCAGAACACACAGAGGCCCTTATCTGTAGACTAGTAAAAGCTTATTTCCTTGTAATAAAATAGTCTTAATGCTAAAATTCAAATAAGACTTCATATGGTTTGGCTATGCCTCCACCCAAATCTCATCTTGAATTCTGATGTTGTGGGAGGGATCTGGTGGGAGGTAATTGAATCATAGGGGCAGGTCTTTTCCGTGCTGTTCTCATTATAGTGAATAAGTCTTGGGAGATCTGATGATTTTAAAAAGAGGAGTTTCCCTTCACAAGCTCTCTTCTCTTGTCTGCCACCATGTGAGACATACCTTTCACTTTCTGCCATGATTGTGAGGCCTCCTCAGCCATGTGGAACGGTAAGTCCATTAAACCTCTTTCTTTTGTAAATTGCCCAGTCTCACGTATGTCTTTATCAGCAGCATGAAAATAGACTAATATAGTATACTGGCACCAGGAGTGGGGTGCTGCTGAAAAGATACCTGAAAATGTGGAAGTGACTTTAGAACTGGGTAACAGGCAGAAGTTGGAACAGTTTGGAGGGCTCAGAAGAAGAGAGAAAAATGTGGGAAAGTTTGGAACTCCCTAGAGACTTGTTGAATGGCTTTGACAAAAATTCTGATAACGATATGGACAAAGAGTTCCAGGCTGAGGTGGTCTCAGATGGAGATTAGGAACTTGTTGGGAACTGGAGCAAAGGTGACTTTTGTTATGTTTTAGCAAACAGACTGGTAGCATTTTGCCCCTGCCCTAGAGATTTGTGGAACTTTGAAGTTGAGAGACATGATTTAGGGTATCTGGCAGAAGAAATTTCTCAGCAGCAAAGCATTCAAGAGGTGACTTGGGTGCTGTTAAAGGCATTCTGTTTTAAAAGGGAAACAGAGCATAAAAGTTTGGAAAATTTGCAGCCTGACAATGCTATAGAAAAGAAAATCCCATTTTCTGAGGAGAAATTCAAGCTGGATACAGAAATTTGCATAAGTAACAAGGAGTCAAGTGTTAATCACCAAGACAATGGGGAAAATGTCTCCAGGTTATGTTAACAGAAGAGACCTTTGAGGAAGCCCTTCCCGTCACAGGCCCAGAAGTTTAGGAGGAAAACATGGTTTCGTGGGCCAGGCCCAGTTTTCCTGTGCTGGGCGCAGTCTAGGGACTTGGTGTCTTGCTTCCCAGCTGTTCCAGCCATGACTAAAAGGGCCAACGTATAGAGCTTGGGCTGTTGCTTCAGAGGGTGGAAGCCCCAAGCCTTGGCAGCTTCCAAGTGGTGTTGAGCCTGTGGGTGCACAGAAGTCAAGAATTGAGGTTTGGGAACATCTGCCTAGATTTCAGAGGATGTATGGAAATGCCTGAATGCCCAAGAAGACATTTGCTGCAGGGCTGGGGCCCTCATGGAGGAGCAACTAACTTGCTTTTGATTCTACAGGCTCATAGACAGAAGGGACTTGCCTTGTCTCAGATGAGACTTTGGACTGTGGACTTTTGAGTTAATGCTGAAATGAGTTAAGACTCTAGGGGACTATTGGGAAGGCATAATTGGTTTTTAAATGTGAGAACATGAGATTTAGGAGGGGCCAGGGGAGTTTCCCTGCACAAGCTCTCTTCTTTTGTCTGCCACCATGTGAGACATGCCTTTCACCTTCCACCATGATTGTGGAGCCTCCCCAGCCATGTGGAACTCTTAAGTCCATTAAACCTCTTTTTTTGTAAATTGCCCAGTCTTAGGTATGTCTTTATCAGCAGTGTGAAAATGAACTAATACAAACTTTAAATACATATTTGTATATATTTATACTTTTGTATCTCATATATATATATATATACTTTTGTTTATATGCTTTGGGGATATTGAAACTGAAGTATTTTAATTTTACTGGATTTTACATTTTATAACTTTAGAAATATCTTCAGATCCATTAAGGAACACAGAAAGCAGTAAAGCAGTATAGGATATCAAAAGCACTGAGAAAACTAATTTAAAAATAACTATTTACATGAATTATTTTACACAAACTTGAATTGATAATTATTCTCAAATTCACACACTAATAAAATAATACATTCCTCATCAGTACTAGTCGTTTTTATTCTCATTGTTGTAACAGTAAGCATGCAATTTTCTAATATTTGATAAATAAGGTAATGCAATATGGCCAATAAATATTATTGAGGCAAAAGTCACCAGAAAATTAAACTACTGTAAGCAATATGTTTGCTATTGACAGGAAATTATTAGTTTACAGCCCTAAATATCCTGTCATGAATTTTGCTTATGGCACAAAGTAGCTTTTGTTCAGAGACCTTATAACTCTAATTTTCCACTTATTTGCAGGACTTTTTGATTGCCTTTTATGTGCTCCACCAGCCGTAGGCCATGGGCCATATCAGTTTGCTTAACATCTATTACCTGAGCAGCATCTTACCCAGATTTGTCACACAGAGCGTGCTTACTCAATAAAGAACATCTTATTGAATGAGGATTCTGGTCAGACACATGCTGTTTTTAACATCAACATTTCAACAAAGGCATGTAATTCTAATGTATTGTCAAGTATTCTTGTAAGTACTAAAAATATAGAGAAGATAATACAGAATATCTTCAAATTAAGACCTTGCTCCAGACCCTAGGTGGTAAGCAAGCCACATAAGTATTCACAGTGTGGTAAGTTCTACAATGGATAAGTGCATATTATGTTTTATATCACAGATTTAATATTTTTCTTTGAAAAAATATGGAGAATAAAAATGCATGACTTCTTTGAGGGGGAAAACAACTAAATTCTATTAGTAGTTAAGTGTATATTTTTGTTCTAATAATTACAAATAGTAGTATTTCTCTCATTGAGAGACTAGACTGCATCAGTGGTATGCTTAGCAATACAATCTGTTTCATATCCTAATATAGATTAGACAATCAATATATCTTAGTTTCTTCTACTTTAATAATTTTGAAGTGTCTCCAGACACTAGTTAAAAATAGAAATTCTGACAAAAAAAGTGCATAAATGGCAGCTGAGTGCTGCTGGCTGATACAAACACAAAAGCACAAATTAGATTGGATGACACATATATATTGATTTGTGCATTGGTTTTATTGATGCCACTGACCCTGACCCCTAATCATAAATGCCTGAACCAAAAGTTCACACACTCTGTCTCAAGGTAAGTGCCTTAGTCTGATTAGGCTAGTATAAGAGAATACCTTAGATTGGATAATTTGTAAGCACCAGAAATTTATTGCGCACAGTTACAGAGCCTGGGAAGTCAAAGATCAAGAAGTCAACAGACGTCTTGATTTCAAAATGTAAAATTTTGAAATTCAGTATTTGCTGATGACCCATTCCTCAGAGACAGCGCTTTCCAGTTGTCCTTAAATGGTCAAAGGATCAAACCAGTTTCCTCAAGCCTCACTTATAAGGGCACTAATCCCATTCATGAGAGCAGAGTCCTCATGACCAAATCACCTCTCAAAGCCCTCACCTCCTAATATTATCACAATGGGGATTGAATGTCAACATATGAATTTTTGACGAGACACAAACATTCAGAACATGGCACTAGGATAGAGACTGGAAAAACTTTAATGGAGGCACACAGATAATAAGGGAGAGAGCAGGATAAAGATGGCCTATGAAGCTGTTCCTCCCAAAGGCTGCTTGTATAACTCTCCCTTCATTCTTGTAAACTGCCTGCACATTATTGTTTGTCTTAGTTTGGGATGCCCACAATTCCATAGACTGAGTGGCTTAGACAATTCAAATTCCTTCACACTCTGGGAAGTCTGAGATCAGGGTGCCAACGTGGTTAGGTTCTAGTGAAGGACCTCTTCCTGGTGATGTCCTCAGATGATCTTTGTTGGAAGTAGAGAGTGTGTGTATGTCTCCCTTTTTATAAGAACAATAATCCATCATGAGGTCCCCAAACTTGTGACCTCATCTAAACCTAAATACCAGAAGGCTCACCTCCTATACCATCCTCATGGGGGGGGGGGTTAGGATTTTAATGTAAAATTTTGGGAAAGATGCAAAAATAATCTATAACATTGTTTCTCCAGTTAGTCACAATCAGTAGGTATTTTGACTGAATCTTGAACGAATCTACAAATTTAGAAAAATCCTCAAGAAACCGACATTTACTGTAAAAAAATATTAAATTGTTTCTTAGATGCTAAACTCTTAGTGTGCACAGGAGCATGTTCTATACACACAATTTTTCTTTGGAGTGTTTGTAGCAAACACTGAATAGCTTCATAGAGAAGCTGTTACTGCTACTGTCAAAAACCACAGAAATAATAAACTTAACAATATCAATACAAATACAAAAATTTCAAAATTAAAAGTATTTTTAAGATTGAAACAATTTCATCTTCTTCACTCTTCAATTCTACAAATCATATGAATCAAGGATTCATAAAGAATGAATGAATGGTATATAATGAGAGCATTGCTTCTATTCTCTGAAAGCATTCAAAACATGCCCATTCTAGTGGTGCTGGAAGAATTAAAATTAAACCAGAAAATGTACTTTGCGGCCACCTTAAAAATCTTTGTTTTTATTACTTAGTAATAGAAGGCAGTAATCTAAAAGTAAAACTCTAAAGTGTTTTTTCTTGTACAGCATTTGAACTTCTTTAGTACTAGATATTTTCAAATAAAGAAGGAAAGAACAACAAAAATTCTAATAATGTACTTGTATATTTTCATCATTTAGGAATTGCAAAGATTATGATCTTATTTATTTACCTTTACTACATCAGCTTGAAAGCTCTCTCCTTACCTCGTTTGATTCTTAATCACTTTGAATACATGTAAGGCTTGAGTTTTAGAGATCTATATCTTTAAAGGTAGCTATATGAAATGAATGCATTATTTTATATTAAACAGTCATTTTCCATTAAACTAAGAAATCGATATGTTCCTGTTAAACTTCCAAGTTCATGGAGTACAGTTGAGGTTATCCATGGGACGTTCAGACAAGGCATATGCACATTAATCACCAGCTGCATGTTGCAATTAAAATTCATAACTACAGTACCTTAAAACATACGCCTCTAGGCATACTAAAAGCACATGGCCATCATTCATTTCCTAATGAATACAATGATGTCACCATTCTTATCACCACTAAACTTCCAGGTATAATTTTAGGAAATTAGAAGACAATAAGTATACTGATGAAGAAAAGTGGAAAATTTGCAAATCCAAATTAGAGTATGTGTTCATTCCTAACCTGATGAAATCTCACACTTTCAAAAGAGGAATGTCACAGACAATAAAGAAATCTCCTTTTCTTTCTTCCTCTAAAGAGGATGCATTTTGAAGAAACTTAGTGTTCTTTCACTACATAGTTATAATAATAAGAATGATGTCAACCTTTAATTTGTCTTTTCCAAAAATTTTAATTAGAAAGAAAAAAAATGCCTTGTGACCAGGGACCAGTTGTTATGTAGATTATTTACCACACTGAATTTCTAAACACTAATTGAATATTATTATTAACAGTGATGTGTCCTATTGGCAGAGGACAGATCTCCTGGGCATATTACTTGGATAGTAGAAATATTGTCCATATATTATTTAATTCACATTTTAATTTAATTGATGATGATAACAACTAGAAATCATGGAGGTTTATTATGAATCATCATTTGCCCTTCTATTCCTTCATTAGTCCAGATGGGAATTTATTATGTACATGCTACTATCTGGAAAATATTACATAAAGATGTTGCCAGAGGTAAAATTATGAAGACTTATCTACCTAACATGTAAGAAATAGAACAAAGAGACTCTTTCTGTTAAACTGTTTACACTTAAAGTAAAATCTTTTTCTGCGTTTGCTATGTAGAGGTCTGATATAACACCAGATCACATGTCTGTACACGTTCTGAGCATTCATTGCCTCATCTATTCTACAAGAACACTGAACTAGCAAGCAAGCTCCTTGAGGAACAAACAGTAAACAGATAGCAACAGTGTCCTTTGATGAGTGCCATCTTGGAAGGATATAAACAATACAGTTGTAGTCACCCAACCTAGGGGGAAGGGAGAAGGGGCAGGATGGGCAACAAAGATTGTTTCTCTATTGGCTTGGCTTCTGGAGTTGGAGAGACCTGAATGTGCCTGCCTCATTAACTAACTGTATGGCCTTGGTAAACAGCTTACTCTTTCTCTATTACCTTCACTTGAACTGGAAATGGTCATATTAAATATCTCACAGTTGTGAAAAAGTAATGAATGAAATACATGAATTCCACTTAGCTTACTGACTCAGGGAGTGCAAAAGAAACCCTGTTGCTATTAATATTGTTGTAATTATTTTTGATCTTTTGTATTATTATTAATAATAATACATTGTATCTTCTCTTTTGATTTTTACAAAACTAACAGGTAATATCCAACTCACGTATTTTATTCCATTTAAGAGGTAAAGAAAGGTGCTCATAGCATGTTGATGACTTGCCCGAAGACACAAGCTGGAAAATGACAGGGTCTAGAATAAAATCGAGTTGCTTAACTCTGTTTCCTGCTCTGTAATAACCGTAGCTGAACCAGGTTATAGTGTGAGTTCTTGACAACCATATTTGTATTATATGGATGACTATGTTGATTGCTTCAGCAATTCCTACAAAACACATTGGGCAGCCACATAGAGTTTCTGGGGTTAAATAATACGTACTACTAACTGTTCATCTATATCTTATTCACAATCTCTCTCTTCTCCATTGATTTCTGGAATGGAGCATTTACTAATCTTCATCCAGTGTTGCTCTGGAAAGTTTCATCTTGAGATTGCATCATTATACATTCAGTATATACCAAATACCTTACTCCTTCACTGATTCACAAGTATTTTAACACTCTGATATTTAGGAAGCATGACTACTTCACATTCATTAGATTTTTAAAATATATTTTTAAAAGTTTGAGGTGTATATTTCATTACACAAGTGCAAATATATGTTTCTGGGCTATGCATTCAAGTAGAAGGTATCTAAGAAGTCTACTAATTTTAATTAATTACCTCATGGTTAAAACCCTTGAATTATTTTCAAATAGAAAATAACCAAAATTTTATTTTAAAAGAAAGAATGCCATGAAATTATACGTTTTTGTACAGCAATAACTAGTTATGTAAAATCATTAAGCTCCTGGGTATTGGGGGGTGTGTGTGTGTGTGTGTGTGTGTGTGTGTGTGTGTATTAGATAAGTGCCCAGGAGCAGTTTTTTTTTCTAACTATTGAAGGTTAATTTCTGAATATGGGCATGAGAGGGTAAACTTCATTCTTAGCCATGTTTCATTTTTTTCCTAACCTAAGAAAGAAAAACCTGGTAGTGTGAAAGCATTTTGCTAAGTTCCATGCCTGAGTAGTATATTGTCAGGTAATTAGTGGAGATCATTGCATTGCATGCTGGGTGGAATAAGGGCTGCAAGATCGGGATCTGTCACATCGCTTCACTTGTAATGAATTTCTGAAATAATTTTTAAGGATGCTGCATATTAAACTATAAAAGGAGCAATTTGTGAATGTTTTAGAGCTAGCAACTGATTTTAACTTTTAAAATTATCTAAATGATTCTGAACATTCGTCCCTTCCAAAGATCTATAAGTAAAGGAATACAAATGTATTTCCAAAAGTGTCACTATATATAAAAAAGATCTGAAACATTGTGATTGTTTCAAATTTTTAGAAATCTGGTAATTTCTTACGCTAGGTTTCACATTGGATTTATTAGATAGAATTAGGAGATTGTTTGTTTTTGTTGAATTTTGTACAAATTCAACCTTAATGCATATTTCACTATGAAATAGAGGCAGAATTTACTTATAATAGTTATCTTTCAGTTTGGTTTCTGTATCTGACAGTATGACATGAAATCCATCAAACAGTAAAACAGAAGGAAAAAAAAATCTCTAAGCATATACATTCATGGAAACATAAATCAAACTGCAAACCCTACAGTGTTAAGAAAATATGAATCTCTTTTCCCAGTAATGGAATCACCTTGAATTCCTTAAATCAATAGTTCACTGAACCTGAAGAACAATTTTCAAGCCCTGGCACATATGTAATCTGGTTTACGCAATGTGCTAGAACTTGTTCAATAGGAGAACTTAGTTCAGCTGTTAGAATAAAAATGTCTTTACAATACAGACTGCTTAAGCACAAGATACTAGTGAACATCAAAATTTCAGAATATTGCTGTTATCACATCAATATTTGTGGACATTGCCTAGATACTTAATAATTTGGGAAGAAATGAATAGTGCTAGTAAAACTTTTAAAAAGCATTATAAATAAAATCTTCATTACATTTAAAAGTTAAATAAGTCTTATTAATATATGTATGATTGTTTTTCACTTTAAGCCAAAGGGTAGACAGGATACAACATACACGGTAGTGGTCTCTTATATGGTAACTTGTATACAACAGAGATTCTATTTAAAATTTTAAGTGTATATTACAGGCTTCCTAGAACTCAGACTATTCTAAAACTTAATAGGAACTAGTTATCTTTTGAAACCATTTACAAGCTTAACTCCAAAGAAATATTTTTTGTCTGTCTAAAGTGGAATTATAAGCAGTCCTCTAAAACCCTAATTTTTCTATACTTTTGAAAGTTTTTAACTGGAATATTAATTTTGAAGAAAAAGTGGTTCATTGAGTACACTTAGGTAAAGAATGAGTTTTCCCTGTAGTTCCATTACTCTCATTAAAACCTTCCTCCCCTCAGAAAAAAAAAGCAAAACAAAACAAAAAACTATTACTAACTTGTCATTGATATTAAAGAATAAATTAACAATTTTGCTATCTTCCAAAGTTAAGAAGAAAAATTCACAGCCATGCCTAATATCACCCAGTGAGATGATCCATAAACAAAGATTTTCTGTAAAAATGTAACTGAGGAACTCACATTGGCTTCTCTATTTTTCTACAGTTTTCAAACTGTAATGAATTTTTTATTATCATTCATTTAATTCCATGTAGGTTTATTCTTGCTGATAACATGATCTATTGTTCTCTGAGCCCTGCTGAGATTGCCATTTCTTAAACAGACAGCACTTATTGGAAATTAAACCTCTACTAATGTATTATAATTATTACTTGAGGGTAATTTGCTGCTCCAGCAGGGAGTCACAGCCAATGTGATGGTAACGTTTCTTCCAGAGAGCTGTTAATATTTCTTCTATGCTGAAATCCCACATAATGGATCTTGCCTAAGGCTGATTAATGATTTCAGAGCTGGAACAGTGATTTGTAGCTAAATCAGTCCTCACCGGAGGAGATTCAGGGTTATTTCAGTCAATACTGTTAAATAAGTGTAAACAGTAACTTCAGTAACACACATGTAATCTAGTAGGTAAGAAAGAGTAGCAATAAAAGGAAGTAAATAATGATAATGCTGCAGTTTCTTCATTTCATTTATGCTTATAACAGATATATGCTTATAACAGGGAAGAAACACACTGCAGTGTCATCAAACCCATGGAATTATTTCACTGCAACACATTTTTTTCTGCATTGAAAAAGCAATTTCTCAAACAAGTAAAAGCAAATTGAGCTAAGTGCCTAAAATAAATCAGCATCTTTCCCTCCTTTCTTTCCTTTATATCACCTTTTTCGCTAAAGAAGAAATTGGACAAATAACTTGTAATGAAACTTGGGCAAGAGAAATTTCAAGTATGGAAAAAGGTTTCGTTTAGCATTATACTCTACAAGCACACAGAGTTCCAACATTGTCCATGCTGTCCAAGCTCCAGGGATTTCATCTTCACCTGAAATGAGGCAGGGCATAGACATCACAAGAAGTAACCTTGAGATTTCCTTGCCCAGAGGCATACATGAGGAATGTATAGAATCAAGACTCTCTAGTCACTGAATTTAATTCTTCTTTGTTAACGTAAAGTCAATATCAATAAAAAGGCAGTGATATAACTGCAGTTAAGGACAATGTTACAGACCTCAAAGTGCATCTTTCAACTTGTATTTCACAAGGGAGTCCTATCTCCCATGATCCAGAGATCTTTAAACATTGTGATGTGCATTGTTTGTCTGAGGCCCTTGGCTTTTTAAAAAATACTCTTTAAATCATTTTTTTTCCTAATTTTTGAGGGTACATAGTAGGTGTATAAATTTATGGGACACACGAGACATTTTGATTCAGGCATGCAATGCACAGTTATCACATCATGGAGAATGGGGTATCCATCCCTCAAGCATTTATCCTTTGAGTTACAAACAATTCAATTACATTCTTTAAGTTATTTTATAATATACAATTAAGTTGTTATTGAATATAGTCACCCCTGGATTTTGACTATCAAATTTAATTAAAAAGCAGCTTCTGACTAATACTGTAAGAAAAAGAAATATTTGTGAGTTAAAAGGTGAGGATCTAGATATACACTGATTGTGAGCACAGCCATTCAAATGATTGTGAAGTCAAAGTGAGAACTGCGTATGCCATTACCAGCTAAATAACATAATTCCAGGTAAAGCATAAAAGATGGGCTGTCACGTATTCTTAGGTTTTCAAACGCGTAGGAGAATCTAGACTCAGAGAAATCTCTCAAAGAAATGTCAATGCATTTTGTAAAATGAAACTAGAGCTATAGCAATTGGTGTTAAATTTCTGCAAATTATACCCAGCTTCCTTTCTACTTGCAACATCGTTGTATACTAAACAGCTCTTCCCCACACATCTCTCACACACACACTTGTGCATATACACACAGATCACTTGAGTCAATGGTTTTTATTCTTCAATCAGAATCAGTACAAAAGCACATCTTAACCTTTACTTAAATCAATACAAAACAGTGTCCCAATTAATAGAACCAGACATGACACATGAGTTTTGTTGTTGTTGTTTTTTTCCTCCAATAGGCTCAGAAAGTCAAGTGCAAAGGGGAAAATTTCTCCCTTTGATAATAAAAATAGTTTTTTGGCAGACCTTCAATAAAGACCTCTACGTACATTTTATGGAGGTGATTTAAAGTCAAAATTCTTGAGTTCATAGCCCATCAGTTTTTGTTTTTAGTAGCTTTATTAAGATACAATTCATATATCATTTGCCTATTAACGTGTACAATTATTTGTACAAATATTCACTGTCATGAAACCATTCCTATAATCCAATTTTAGACTATTTCGTCACCTCAACCCATATTCATACTTTATTTTTTTTTGAGATGGAGTCTCGCCCTGTCGCCCAGTCTGGAGTTCAGTGGTGCGGTCTTGGCTCATTGCAGCCTCCACCTCCTGGGTTCAAGTGATTGTCTTGTCTCAGCCTCCCAAGTAGCTGGGACTACAGGCATATGCCACCATGCCCGGCTAATTTTTGTATTTTTAGTAGAAATGGGGTTTCACTACGTCGGCCAGGATGGTCTCGATCTCCTGACCTCGTGATCCACCTGCCTTGGCCTCCCAAAGTGCTGGGATTACAGGCGTGAGTCACTGCGCCCAGCGCCATATCCATACTCTTAATCCACACCTCCTTTCACTCAGTACTGAGCAACCATTAATTTGTTTTCTGTTTCTATCCATTTGCCTATCCTGGATATTTCATAGAAATAGAATAACACCGTATGTGGTCTTTTCTGGCTGGTTTATTTCACTTACTGTGTTTTCAAGGTTCATCAATGTCGTAACATGCATCATTCTTTCTTTTTTATTGCCAAATAACATCTAATTTTGTGGATAGAACACATCGTGTTTATCCATTCATCAGTTGGTGGACATTTGGGTTGTTTCCACTCTTTCAGTATTATGATTAATGCCATTACGAACATGTGTGTACAAGTTCGTATGGACATATGTTTTTATTTTTCATATATATGCTTAGGAGTAGAATTGCTGGGTCATACTGTAGTAATTATAGTTGGCATATTGAAGAACCGCTAAACTACTTTCCAAAGCGGCAAGGTTATATTACATTTTCATAAACAATATATGAGGACTCCACCTTTTTCCACATTCTTATCCACATCTGTTACTGTCCTTCTTTTTGATTATAACTACTGTAGTGGATATGAAGTGGTATTACATTGTGATTTTTATTTGCATTTCCTTAAAGACAAATGATATGGAATGTCTTTTTATGTGCTTATTGGGCATTTTGGTTTTTTTATAAATATATATATATTTTCACCCAGTTTCAATTTTTTGTCTTATTTCTGAGTTGTAAAACTTCTTTTTATATTCTAGATACATGTCCTTTATCATGTATTTGATTTAAAAATATTTTCTCCCATACTATGGGTTGTCTTTCACTTTAGGGATGATGTCTTTTGATGCACAAATACTTTTGATTTTGATAAAGTACAATTTACCTAAATTTTATTTGGTCATTTCATTTGGTGTCATGTTCAAGAAGTCTTCGCCTAACTAAAGGTCATGAAGATTTACTGCTGCATTTTATTCTAAGAATTTTGTAGTTTTAGCTCTCAAATGTTGCTCATAATGCATTTTGACTTTTTTTTTGAATATTATGAGGAAGGAGTGCAACTTCATATTTTACATGTGGATATCCAGATGTCTCAGCAACATTTCTTGAAGAGTTTTTAATACTGAACCATGTAATTGCCTCTTCTAAGCCTCTGTCTCTTAATCAGTAGGATGGGGGTGATGGATAAAAGTGCCTCGTTCACTGAGTTGTTTTCAAGATTAAATTAAATTCAATAATACACATAAAATGTCTAACATTGTTTTAATACATAGTACTTGCACTTTAGCTCTTAACAGATCTCTACAGGTTATCATAACCTATTTCTAACCCAAGGGTTGTCTGCTCACTATAACGCTTGCTGTCATGGAAAATATTCTGTTGTTAAAAATACTCTCTTTTTCCTTATCCCTCTGCCTCAAAAGTTGTCCCTGTATGAATTTCTCACTTAGCTACCACTGAAATACCTGATGAGGTAATTCATACTTAAAAATGAAAAATGGGCCAGGTGCGGTGGCTCATGCCTGTAATCCCAGCACTTCGGGAGGCTAAGGCGCGTGGATCACGACGTCAGAAGATCGAGACCACTCTGACCAATATGGTGAAACCCCGTCTGTACTAAAAATACAAAAATTAGCTGGGCATGATGGCCTGTGCCTGTAATCCCAGCCTCTCGGGAGGTTGAGGCAGGAAAATCGTTTGAACCAGGGAGTCGGAGGTTGCAGTGAGCCGAGATTGAGCCACTGTACTGCAGCCTGGCAATAGAGTGAAACTCCGTCTAAAAAAAAAAGAAAGAAATAAAAAAATGAAAAATGATAAAATAATTTTATTCTTTAACAGAATTATGTTGTTATTATGTTGAGACAAATATAGCACTGTAAAATTCCTCCACACTTTTTTGTTTTGTTTTTTTTGAGACAGGGTCTCACTCTGTTGCCCAGACTGCAATGCAGTGGCATGATCTCGTTTCACAGCAACCTTAGCTTCCTGGGCTCAAGTGATCCTTCTGCCTCAGCCTCTCAAGTAGCTGGGACTACAGGCACAAGCCACCAATGCCCAGGACATATATATTTTAAATTTTTTTGTAGCGATGGGGATTTTCCATGTTGCCCAGACCGGTCTTGAGCTCCTGAGCTCAAGTGACCCACCTGCCTCAGCCTCCCAGAGTTCTGGGATTACAGGCGTGAGCCACTGTGCCTGGCTCATGCTCCACACATATTTTAAGTTTGCTTTATAATCCTGTGTTATCATTTATTCATTTGTATATTAAAGGCTTCCAAATGATGTGTCCTCTATTAACATAAAAAAGATTATCTGAATATAGTAAAATGTTGATTTATTAACAACTATGTAATCAAAAAGAACAGCAAATACAGAAGGAGGTGTTAATCACAAAATAAGCTCTGTCTCTTTCATAGTCTTGCTAAGTTTCATGTCTCTGGTAGGATATTGTGCATTTTTGAAAGATGCCTTGAGATGGCCAATTCTGTAAGCCAAGGAAAGTCTATGAGAATAGAAAGCACCGAGAATTTATAATTAGCTTCATGTACTGCATTTGTAAGTTACCAGCTGTGTGACTGACAGGACTCTTTTCCCCTACATAGTCCCGTTTCATTGTGTGCGAGTAACAACTGGCGTCCAGGAGATTCATGAGAATTAAATGAGATAGTATAAGTGGAATGCTGTCAAGATGTAAGGCATTAGATAAAATATATTAGATAGTCACAAGTTAATTCCAGCTTGGGAAAGAAAAATTGGGATAATTTAGAATAAAATCGTTATTTGCCAATGTAAACATATAATTATTTTAACATGTTTAAAGCATTTTAATAAGTCATGTGGGTATAATGATAAAGGAGAATATAATTGCAGAATTACGTGACTATTCAAATTATTTTCACATCTTTTGAATTTAAAAAATAGTAAATTATTTGAGCTAGAAATTTCTCGCTTCCACTTTACATTTGTCTAGTGCAGATTTTTAGATCCATTGGCCAACTAATAGTGGATCCCGCAGCGATGGAACATTTCTATTATATTCTTTTCTCTGTAACGAATAATACCATCTGGCAACCTGAGTGTTTTTCTCATCATTACAAGTCAGAGGAGTGTGTAATTATCTCACTGAAAGGAAACTTCTGAAGAAAAGCAAATGTAAGAAACATTCTTGTTGCACTGGATGAAAAAATGTGCCAAAAATAATAGGATGTTGTATAACTTTATATAAAGCTACAAAAAATAAACACAAATAAACATTATCAAAGAAAGCATCATGCTGTATATTATGAATTACTGATATCTCATATATTTGAGGCTTTTGACATAGAGGTTAGAACTCTGTGACTGAGAATCTCACTCTTGAATTAATTAGGAAGAGAGTATTTTGAATGATAGCAAAATGGCCAATTAATGTTTATTTAATAATTTTTGAGCAGGCGTTAAATGATTGGTTTCAAAGTGCAATAATATAGTCTGCTTTGTAACTAGAGCTGTGAAAAATATTCACAGCCTGAATTAAAAGGAGAAATGTTAAGAAGAGGAAAGGGATTGTCTAAATAGCAGTATAAAAATCTCTGTAATTATGTTAACATCATGGACAATCTGTAGTATTCTAGTATATATGAAGAATACCTATCTTCTCTCCAGGATATTTCAATTACTTGGAAACTGTCCTGGTTTCAAACTTTTGGAATTGTAGATATTCTGTTGTGGGCACATAAGATGGAAAGAGGGAATAGATGGATAAAGCATGGCGTGATGAGAGCTGTTGGGCTTAATTTGCACCAACATTGTCATAATGCTTTTGGCCCTCAGCTAACAGTAGAAACGTGTATGCCACATTATAATGGATACACTGGAAAAAGTCCTGTTCTTAGAACCCTTACAAGGATGACATATGTAGAATAGGTACACAATATACAGGGTACATCTTTGAAGACTTTTCCCAAAGCTACAGTGAAAGTGTTACAAATAGCAAAATAAAAATGAGTAAAATTGGAAGATCCTTCCCCACAGTAAGTGCAAATACATAACTAGGAAGTTGACCCATATTTTTTTGTTTCAAAAGTATTTATTCCTATATATTGCAAGAACTTAGTAAAACAGGAAAAAAAGGAGAAAAAAGCTTAAATTGATTGGGATAATAGATGAAGATCAAGCTAGACAGGTTTGTGTCAAAAATCTTAGTTTTTAAATATTCATTTTGATTGAAATAATATTAAATTTTAAAAAACTATTCACAGATAAGGAGCTGAGTTGGAAGTGATGAAGTTTAGGGTCTTGTATCAAAGTAGAAATACATTGTGATCTTGACACAATATGACAGAGATGAGTGGACAAAGTCATGGGTACAAATAATTATAATAAAATTTATTTTGTGAAATTCTATAATTTAGCTATAAAATACATGAAAGAAGAGGAAATTTTTAACCCCAAATTTGAATTTTGGAAGATAAACAGCACAGAGATGATGGTATTTCACCTGGTTTTCAAAGATAGTTAGATTTAGACGGCTATGAGAAAGGAGGAATTACTTTTCTGAAAGTGGATTGAAAGAAATAAAAATTGCATGTGACTTGAATTTTTTTCCTTGTTTCAGTAAGAAGGCACTCACAAACAGAAATATGAAGAATTACCAAAGCACTATTAATGGAAGTCAATTTATTGCACAAAACTGTGTTGTATACCATGAAACATCTTTTTGTTTGTCTTTTTGCTTTCCTTGGTTTTAGTGAATCTTCTAAATTAAATCTTCTTCCTGATAATAACTCAAAGATAAAACAGGGTATGGGAATTTTAAGTGATCTTCAACATTATCTATTCACAGTACTGTATCCAGTAGGATAATTTTTAATGGCCATCCAAGTTTTATTACACACTTCAGCTAAAAAGGAATCCATAATATTTTAAAGGAGCCAATGGTATAATTGAAAAGCTGTAATGGTTAGCAAGTATTTCATTAAATTTACTTATTCCCTGACTCAATCTAAATCTATCTTCTGGAGATACAGATAAAATTATTATATATCACATGACAGCAAGTATATAAAGTCAAGGAGAGAAGGAGGATATAACATAAGGAACAGAACAGTGTGGCAGGAAGATAAATGAGCTGAAAAATACAATGATAGACATTCTGATAACCTTTTTGTAAGTTCAGGAAAATCCCTTAACTTTTCTTTTGTGCCACTTGCACAAATCACTTAGTCCCTCTGTGCTTGTTACTTACCTTTAGGGGTATTATAAAATTCTAATTTCTGATTAAAAATCACTAGCTGGGTATTTTGTTAATCATTCTCATTATTTAAGATTTTATTATTCTCTTATAAACAGACTCAGTCTTTTCACTATTTCTCATGAGACAGTTTTCAGGTCATGCACCATCCTTTATCTCCTCCATGGGACACCATGGTTAATGTCTCTCAGACTGGGATGTCCATAACCAAACCCAATACCACAGATGGACCGATCCATGCAATGAGTTTTATTTCCTTTTAGCTAGATATGATATTTTGTTAAAACCACTTAGCATTTACCTATGTTTTTTAAAAATATTTTTTTCCTTAGCAATTGCTCATCTATAACTTGCAGGAAATTCAATAAAATCATAAAGTGTTTTAAAGTCACAGTTGTGTAGCTAAACATGTAACACTTCAAGCAGAAATATAAAACTATACATGTATTTCTTGCATAGAACTGAAAAAAGCCTGTGCTTCAATTGGGCATTCCTTATTTTTTACATTCCTTACTTCTTGTCAATCTTGGAACCATGTTAACTATGAGCTAGATGATATTACTATTAGTTAACTTGATACATCATCTAGCTCATAGTTCACTATCCTTTACTCCAAGATCCAGTGAGAAGTTGCTCCGCAGCTGGAGAAATTGGAGATTTGGGACTAGGACCATGGCTCTGCAATTTACTACCTATGTGATCTCAATTCATTCAAACCCTGGTTTACTTCTGCTAAAAATTGCATCATAATACCTAACTGAAAGGTTTGAGTATACAGAAAACACATCTTAAACTTTTAATGTAATGATTTCCATTTCACAAAGTCCAAGAGGTTCTCACAAATCTTTCCTCAAATCTTAGGCATCAGGCTTTAAACCTTTTCAAACAAGATCATCTGGGCCTATAATGCCTCCAGTGGAAGCCATTTGCAATCTTTTGAGATTCACTTTTTCCTACAAGGCAAAATGGAAGCATCACTTTCCCTGACTGTAGTAGTGCCATTTGGCTTACCCTATCCCCCACACTAATTGTCACCCTTTTCTTAAAATCTAGCAGAGTTTCTTACACACTGTAAATGTTCATTAAATATTAGTAAAAATGATAAATAGAAGAACAGAAAAAAAGAAGGATAAATAGAAAGGAAGAGAAAAGGTAAGAGGAAAGAAATACATGTTTTTCTTTTCCTCCCACTTCACTTTAACTCTCCCATTAACATAATTACCTACATGGTGATATAGTTTGGATATTTGTCCCCTCCACATCTCATGTTGCAATCTGATCCCCAATGTTAGAGGTGGTACTTGATGTGAGGTGTTTGGGTCATGGGGTCGAATCTCTCATGAATAAATTAGTGCAGTAGTAGCGGTGGTAATGAGTCAGTTCTTGCTCTATTAGTTCCTACAATAACTGATTGTTGAAAAGAGTCTGACAGCTCCCTCCATCAGCTCCCCTTCCTCTTCCACCATGAACTGAAGCAGTCTGGGGCCCTTAACAGATGCAGATGGTGGTGTCCGGGCTTCTCATACAGGCTACAGAGCTATGAGCCAAGTAAACTTCTTTTTTGAAAATAAATTATCCAGCCTCGGGTATTCCTTAGAGTAACGCAAATGTACTAACCCATGTGGCATTTCAACTACATGCCTCCATGGCTTCTTCACATCATGGATCATGGGCCATTTAAGGTAGGCCTTTTGTTTAATTCATGTCTATCAGTTCAATGATTACCACCATGGTGAGCGGGAATGTTAGGTGCAATATATTAAAGAGGGGAAAAAAAAAAGGAATGCAGATCAAACATATGCTCCTGTAGAAGGATTTTAAAGTTCAATTAGTTTAGTTCTTCCTTGGGCTACAAATGGGACTGGGATAACAGCATTCAAGGTATCAGCTGACAATGCATGCTACAGCATGATGACAGTGTTCTTTTGATGAAGTTGTCACACAACATGAAAAAAAGCAACAAAATTATTAGAGAATCCTTGTATGATTCCAGTGATTGCTTTATTTTCTTTCCTGCATGTTCAAATTACATTTGTAAAATTGCATTCAAGACCAGAGTTAAGCTTACCTTTTTTTTTCCTGAATAAACCATTGCCTCCCATTTGTTTTTTCCTGCCATTTCTAACATTCTTTTCTTTATTCTCATGATGAACAAACAGATATTTCACAACAGATTTTCTATTAAAGTTGGTTTGAGGTTTGAATTCACACCAAACACTAAATATTATTATTCCCTTTTGACTTACTCCATGCTTTGTTTTCTTTTTAATTTCTTTTTTTTTTTTTCTTGACATGGTGTTTTGCTATGTTGCCTGGGTTGGTCTTGAATTCCTAGGCTCAAGCCATCTTCCTGCTTCAGCATCCAGAGTAGCTGGGATGACAAGCACACACAACCTCTTGCAGCCATGCTTTGTTTTCTTCTCAGAATTTGCACTACCTCTGAACATGTCTTATGACGGTTCTATTTAATTGGCAAGGGAAAAGTCATTTTGTCTTTATTCATTTATTCTTCAAATTCTCATATGGCACCGTATTGCAAGCCATATGCAGTGCTAAGTGCGGGGTAGACAGCATTGAGCAAAAAAAGAAGCCTCACTGCCTTGGCAGCTTGTGAGAGTGTGTGGGGACTGGCGGGGGTGTGGACAGGGAAACTTCTCATCCAGCCAAAGTGGTCATGGGGACCAATAAAGGAGGAAGTAAGAGAGAAGGGGACTTAGATTGGGGCTTTATACCATCTTTCTAAAGTAAAGAAATAACCCATTTTGTGTGCCTTTTCTTTTAAAAATAACAATGATTTTTGAAAATTTGAAAAAAAATTAGAAAATGAACATTATTCGTAATGTTGTACTCATAAACCCAGTATCCAGCTTGATTCATTCAAACATTGTTTACAGAGATAATGTATATACATTTCTATGTATATGAATTATACAACATAATATATGTGTTTTATTTAATAGGATATCATATTCTTCATGCTCTATAATTTACCAATTGAAATGTTTATTGAATTTATATATATATATGTATTATCTGTCTGCATATACAAATGAGGAGTATTTACTTTCTTATAAAATCCATTTTTAGACTATGAATTTGATGGCTGCAGAATTGTACACTGATTCATGACTTATCTATTCCATTATTTTGAAATATTTAGTTATTTCATCAATTTAAAAAAAAAATTATTTATTTATTTATTTGTTTATTGAGAGAAAGGATTTCACTCTGTTGCCCAGGCTGGAGTGCAGTGGTGTGTTCATAGCTCATTGCAGCCTTAAACTACAGGGCTCAAGCTATCTTCCTGTCTCAGCCTCCAAAGTAGCTGGACTACAGGCACACGCTACCATACCCAGCTAATTTTAAATTTTTTTTGTAGAGATGGGGTCTTGCTTGGTTGCCCAGGCTGACCTCTTTCATCAATATAAAACAATAATATGATAGATATTTTAATCTTAGGATCCATGTCAAACTTAAAATTACTGGATAAGAGAGAAGAAACACTCTTAAATCATCAACTTAAAATAACAAATTGCTTTTGAGAATGATCACATTTTCTTTACAATCTCCATACATGATTTTTCTACTTAGAAATCCTTCTACATTCCAAAATCTAATAAAATCCTTCACTTGATTATGCTGTTGATAGTCTCAAATCTATACTAATATTTTTTAATTGTTATGTTAACTTAGGTGAGAATTTCTCTTCAATTGCTCTCAAATAATCAACTGCTTAATACAATTGCCAAATACTCTATTGTTTTTCTATTTGTTTAGGCCACATTTGTTATGTGATTATTCTGTTTCTAGAACTGGTTTCTTATAAATTTTTTTACAAGAGTATTTCTATTTCTGTATTTTTTTATTTAGTTAATTGAAGAGTTACTTTTTAAAGGTAATGTTAAACTTTAAGTTATGTTTTAAAATTAGAATAATTTTATATTTGCAGGATAGTGCAGTTTTCTTCCACCCCTTGTACACGTCTTTCAATTTCCTTTTAAATTAATGTTTTAAGTTACTATGGCATATATATATACACACACACATATATGTATACACACACACATATATATACATATATATGTATATAATTTTACTTTAGGTTCTGGATTACATGTGCAGAATGTGCAGGTTTGTTACATAAGTATACATGTGCCATGGTGATTTGCTAGACCTATCAACCCATCATCTAGGTTTTAAGCCCCGCATGCATTAGGTATTTGTCCTAATGCTCTCCCTCCCCTTGCCCCCAACCCACCGACGGTCCTGGTGTGTGATGTTCCCCTCCCTGTGTCCATCTGTCCTCGTTGTTCAACTCCCACTTATGAGTGATAAAATGTGGTGTTTGGTTTTCTGTTCCTGTGTTAGTTTGCTGACAATGATGGTTTCCAGCTTCATCCATGTCCCTGCAAAGGACATGAACTCATTCTTTTTTATGGCTGCATAGTATCCCATGGTGTATATGTGCCACATTTATTTATTAATGATAGATTATATCATTAATGGTCATTTGGGTTGGTTCCAAGTCTTACTATTGTAAATAGTGCTACAATAAACATACGTTTGTATGTGTACTTACAGCAGAATGAGTTGTAATCCTTTGGGTATATACCCAGTATTGGGATTGCTGGGTCAAATGTTATTTCTGATTCTAGATCCTTGAGAAATCACCACAAATATGTAGACCGATGGAACAGAGACATCAGAAATAACACCACAAGTCTACAATCATCTGATCTTCAACAAACCTGACAAAAACAAGCAATGGGGAAAGGATTCCCTATTTAATAAATGGTGCTGGGAAAACCGGCTAGCATATGCAGAAAACAGACATATTTTAAAATTATTTATAATACAGTGTTAAATCTTTATTATTCTAAATTTTCTAGTTTCTTCTTGACAATCTTTGGGTATTCTTTCTAATAAAACATAGCAATTTTTTTATTGTCACTTTCAATTGAAATTGCTTGGAATTTAGAGATTAAATCTTGGCATTTGCATAACATTTTTAATGACATCTCAGAATTTAGTATACTATATTCAAGTTTTCTTTGTTGATCTTTAGAAAGATTTTATATTTTTCTTACTGTGTGCTCTGTGCATTTCTTGGCAGAATTTCTTTCCCTATTTTTTCAAGTCTGAAATTATGAATTAAATTTATCTATTTACTATTCTAATTAGCCATCATTTTATGAACACTCATTTTTTATTCAACAATCTTAACCAACACTGGTTCTTTTCAGTTGAGTTTTAAATTAGATAAACCTGTCTGTAAATAGTATTTGTCTCTTAATCCCACCAGAATAGGTTTTAGTGTCCATCCTTAAAAACATTATTTTTCAGCTGGGCGCGGTGGCTCATGCCTGTAATCCCTGCACTTTGGGAGGCTGAGGCAGGCGGATTGCAAGGTCAGGAGATCGAGACCATCCTGGCTAACACAATGAAACCCACGTCTCTACTGAAAAATACAAAAAAATTAGCCGGGCGTGGTGGCGGGCACCTGTAGTCCCAGCTACTCAGGAGGCTAAGGCAGGAGAATGGGGTGAACCTGGGAGGCGGAGCTTACAGTGAGCCGAGATGGCGCCACTGCACTCCAGCCTGGGCGACAGAGTGAGACTCCGTCTCAAAAAAAAAAAAAAAAAAAAATTTTCTTTTATTTTACTTTTCTCCCCATCTGCATCAACTTAAAATACCATATTGACTTTAATGTGAAAACAGAAATGTTCAATTTTTGTAAGGAATGGATATTAAATTCTGTCAAATACCTTTTTAGTATTAATACATGTTTTTAATACACTTTTAAAAAGACTAATATATATTTTTTCAATATTTTAATTTTGTACATTCATCAGAATATTGCTCAGTGGGTGTTTTTTATTCACATAACCATAGGTAGCTTAACATATTTGTTAATAAGAAAATAAGCTTCCTTTTAAGGTGTAGCTTTCTAGCAGCTAGAATGGCTTCTGAAGATGTTTCTTCTTTCACACCAATACATACTTCAGTATGCATTTTAACAGTATTGCTATGTCATCTCAGTGTTTTTAAAATAGTTACACTTACAGTGCTTTATGGAATATTCTCTACAATATTGCAAGGCTGGGATGCCTGGAATTCCATTTCTATTGAAACAATTAAGCTAGCAGGAAAGCCTAGAGGCCAGAACCTTGGTCTCTAGCACTGAAACCAAGTATGTAATGTTCAAGAAAAAAAAAAAATCTTAAAAAGAACTCCTACCGTGTAACCCAGATTGAAGTTATTTAAGAAAATCTTTCATTAATCCTGGACCATAAGTTCTGAGCCCATGGTTAGATTCACAGCGCATTTCACTAGGGGAATCCCTTTAGAGCACGATTATAAAAACTGTCATTTGATGACACATCATGCTACCATAGTCTTTTTCCCCTCCCATGAAACAGTAAAGCAGATGATATTAAATTATAGAGAAGGGATGATTTCAGGTGACAGAGTAAAGGGATTTGATACAGAGATGTTGCAGGTGAGGTTCAGAGTGAAACATTGTTTTATATAAAAGAAAACAGCCAGCCGGGCGCGGTGCCTCACACCTGTAATCCCAGCACTTTGGGAGGCCGAGGCGGGTGGATCACGAGGTCAGGAGATCAAGACCATCCTGGCTAACACGGTGGAACCCCGTCTCTACTAAAAAATAGAAAAAATTAGCCAGGCGTGGTGGCGGGCCCCTGTGGTCCCAGCTACTCGGGAGGCTGAGACGGGAGAATGGCGTGAACCCGGGAGGCGGAGCTTGCAGTGAGCCGAGATAGCACCACTGCACTCCAGCGTGGGCGACAGAGCGAGACTCTGTCTCAAAAAAAAAAAAAAAAAAGAAAGAAAACATATGTATATTCTGAAGAGCACATGTTTTTATCTATTCAATTATCCACTCTGAAGTATTTTCCAAATACTTTGGCAAAGCACATTGTTATGGACTAAATTGTGTCCCCTTAAAATGTATATGTTGAAGCCCAAATCCATTGTGAATTTATCTGTAGATAGAGCCTTTAAGAAGGTAGTTAGGTTATAAAGGTGGGGCCCTAATCTCATATAACTGGTATTCTCATAAGAAAAGAAAGAGATACCTGAGAGCCCTCTCTGCATGTGCACGAAGAAGAGGCCCTGAGAAGACACATGGAGTAGGTGGCTGTCTCCAAGCCAGGAAGAGAGACATCACCAGAAACCAGTCTTTGATCTTGGACCTCTCACCCCCAGGACTGGAAGAAAGTAAATTTCTACTGTGAAAGTCACCTATCCTGAGGTGTTTTGTTATAGCAGCCTGAGCTAATACAATTGAACTCATTTTATATTTTAGAGACTATTCAGATAGGTTACATTCCCTTAATGCCCGCATAAAGGCAGGGCTTTTTTTTTTTTTTTTGAGATGGAGTTTCTATCTCGTTGCCCAGGCTGGAGTGCAATGGCACAATCTCAGCTCACTGCAACCTCTGCCTCCTGGGTTCAAGCAATTCTCCTGCCTCAGCCTCCCAAGTAGCTGGGATTACAGGCATGCATCACCACACTTGGCTAATTTTTGTAATTTTAGTAGAGATGGGGTTCACCATGTTGGTCAGGCTGGTTTCAAACTCCTGACCTCAAGTAATCCGCCCACCTCGGCCTCCCAAAATGCTGGGATTACAGGAGTGAGCCACCGTGTCTGGCCAAAGGCCAGCTTTTTACTAGGAAAACAAAGCTCTACTGATTTATAGAATCCCAGACTCACTTAGTCATTGAAGCTCGTTAAAGCCTGAAAGTACTTAGGGAAGTTTATATGGAAGATCACAACATGTCTTTTTCATGAATGACTGACAGGATGAATTTCCCTAGGCATGTCAATCACAGAAGTTTTAATTGATGCCATTCTCAACTACTGTGCATGTTGTTGAAAAGCATTACATTTAGCTGCATTCAATCCCCAGATATATATATATATATATATATATATATATATATATATATATATATATATATATATATAGTGTGTGTGTGTGTGTGTGTGTGTGTGTGTGTGTGAAAGAGAAAGAGAAGATAATTTGACAATTATTAGAAGTTTGGCAGTTCAACAATAAAAACTAAATAATTCTCATGAACATGCTTTATGGTGGGAAAATGGTGATGAGTTTTCTCCGTATACAATTAGGTGTAGTTTCTCTATGTAGTTGTGATACCAATATTTCTTTGTGTTTGATGTGCATTTCTTATCAAGACAGAAAAATTGTGTATTCTGTGAACAGAATGCATAAGAATTTACTGATCTGAAAAGTAATTTGGTGAATTACCTCTACAACAGTCATGCAAGCAAGGAAGAAATAAAATGCTATAAGCACTTACATAGTTCTTATCATGTGAATCAAAACCTAAAAGTGTAACCAAACGAGATGATTCAGTCTTATTTACACATCTGATGTGCTTTTTCTTTAACACAAAAGGGTTCTAACATTGACCACTATCATCTGTCTTTTAGAACTTATTTCTTATTAGTGATTTAATATTTAAAAATCTTTAATGTTGTGGTTTAACTTAAAATATAGGTTCATATAGGAAAACTTCTTTTTAGAACAATTATTTAGAAATGATACCAATACATGTTTGTTAACACGATTAACTACAAAGTGGGATTTCATGTGAATGAATTTCCCAAGGGTACTGAGATTTACTAATGTATCGAAATATCAGAAAGGCTTTGATACACAAAAGCTCTAAATTATACGTGAACATTAGCATCGAAATAAAAGCATAGTCAGACAGTAGTGCCCCCTGGAGAAGACCTGTTGTATTGTAAGCAGTGCCTTATGGAAGCAATGGATGGCTCAGTACCTTTCTAGGATCTGGTCCCAAGAAGGGTACCACACATGATTTTCCGAGATACACAAATATCATCAATAAAACAAGAATTAATACATATTAACCAAACTCACAAATGTACATGTAAATATAAGGCAGAAGGTGTTATAAGACATAAAATTACTTCTATTTTAGAAAGAATATTCTCTTCCTATAAGTACATTGAACTGAAAAGCCACATGACAATCAGAAGATTGCCTAATGAGCTAAAATTTAATTCAAAATAGGGATAGTTCGGTGAATCATATTAATGCCTATTGCTATTAGATTATGTTAATATCATGCATCCACAGCCAGGAACGATGGCGCACACCTGTAATCCCAGCACTTTGAGAGGCCGAGGCAGGCAGATTGTTTGAGGCCAGGAGTTTGAGACCAGCCTGGTCAATAAGGTAAAAGCCCGTGTCTACAAAAATTAGCTGCATATGTTGGCGCATGCCTGTAATCTCAGCTATGTCAAGAGGCTGAAGCTGGAGAATTGCTTGAACCCAGGAGGCAGAGGTTGCAATGAGCCGAGATTGTACCACTGCACTCCAGCCTGGGTGAAAAAGTGAGACTCTGTCTCAAAAAAAAAAATATTAACCTGGATAGTGCTAATGACATGCTGACAAATTAAAACTCTCCAAGAGATACCCTCCAGACCCTTCCCTATTAACAAATTTATTTTCCTTTTCCACTTCAAACATCCTGTGGACAAATGTTCTGTGTTGAATGTTGCAGGTTGCCCACTGAACATCTTCTGTCACATCCTCATCACCTATGAGAACTCTGTGTTTAAGAATCTTCCCCTCACCACATGGGCATGTGTCAAGGCATGGCTGCCTATAGTCCCAGGTCAAATAAGGCCTGATGTATTACTTTACCTCTTGCCAATGATCACTCCAAACCTTGTTATGTTATTTAACTCTGGCCTATGAAATGCATGATGAAATATGTATAATAACTTTTGGCAAAGTTTCTTATCGCCTAAGCAGAAACCGTGATAAGAAAATGTTTTCTATTCCTTTTGAGTATTGTTGAATCTGTATATCCTAGGGAAGAATTGCTACACTGGTTGTCTTACTAAACCACCTTCTTACTATCCTAAGGAGAGAGTCAATACTGGTGGTAAGACACAGAGAAATGAAAATCACCTAGATCACTGATGATATTCAGTTATTGAATCCATTAATTCTAATGCCTCTCTATATCTGAATGACCAGGTAAATGAGATATAAAGTAGTCCTTAACTTTGAGCCAATTTAAAGTGGTGTTTATATTACATCTGAAAAGACTTTTTAATAAATAGAGAGTTGTAAGATATTCTTAGAACACCTCCCCATTTTCTTGCTAGTTTCTACTTAAGAGAAATATAGCTGGGATTTCTTCCTTTTCCTCTGATTACTCTTCCTTTATTTTACCAGTTTATCTATCTTCAAAGCTCAGTCACTGACCCACTTCCTTTTCCTGTTTATACTCTTTGATTGTTAATCTGATCTGATCTTAAGGCTTGGATTCTATCCGTATGCCCCAAACTTGCAAATTTATTTCTCTAACAAGGCCACCTTAGAGGCTCCTTTGGCCAGCTGCCTACTTCACATATTCATTTGTAGGTTTGATAATCACCTCAAAGTGAACATAAACAATTAATCTACTATTACTCTCTAAGTTCTCCCATATCAGCAAATTGCACCCTCATTGATTTATAATCAATGAATAGCTCTGTCTCCAAACATAACCTGAATTATCCTAATGTTCTCCAACTCCACAGTCTTGAAATGCTACAACCTTTACTGTAAACACCATCATTGAATCCCTATTCTACAGCAATAAGATTAAAAAAAAAGATTGTCACTTCTCATATTAAAAATTTCAGGACTTCTTGTCCTGAAAACAAAATTGAACTTCTTATAATATCAAGGAAAATCCTTCATAAGCTGGTTTTGCCCATCTTTCTTATTGCAACTAACACTATGTTCATTCTCCCTAAGTAAGATCTAGCTCTCTGGATCTCCTTTAGATCCCCAATATCTTTCATGTCCTAAAGCATTGCCTTTTATTACTGGTTTTAGATCAATTTGGGAGGAACCTTCTACTCCCATATTTTACCTACCAGGCTTCTTCATATCATTTCAATCTCAGTTCAAACACTATCTTCTGAAAACCTTTTCCCTCACTACTCAATCTAAACAATTTCCCTTCCTGGTTCTCCACAACATTACCCACCCAACTTTGTAAATGGTTTCAAATATTCTGGGTTGACAGGAAAATGTTGTGCTTTTGTTAGAGCTTGATGGGCAATGCTGTTTAAAATATCAGCTCAATCATATGACATTCCCATCTTTCCTAAAATCCCTGCTTTATTTCTTTCCATTTAATAGACTGACATTTGATATAACAAAAATTTATTACCTGTTCAAAACCCAAGACTAAACACAAGACTTCCAGCTACTTGACAACTATAATTGTTGTTGTTTTATTCAGTGTTACATCATCATTGTCTAGAGGCGTCTGGAACAATCATGAATGATAAAGATAACAGTATCTATCGTAGGATGAATGAGTTAGCATGAGGCCAGGGGTTGCCTTACACTAACTACTCATTGTGTATTGAATATTATTATACTAGTCATTCATTCTATGCAACCTAAGTGGAAAGACTCCCAGCTCCATTCCTTAGTTAGGAGGAGGCCTAGACCCACTAACAATGGTAAGGGGTGTGTTTAGAAAGTTCATATTTCGTCACCCATATACAGGTAGGAACCACTGATACAAGGCAGATTCTGATAATCTCTCACCAATCAGATTGTAATCCCTGCTTTGTTATGGTCAAGTTTTTCTGCTGCTCAGCCACCTCCTTCTCTGGTGTTTTCTCTTCTCTACACTCATGCAATACATACAGTCGTTCAATGTCCTAAGAAAGTCTCCTCTTCTCTTGGAATCTCTTCCTCTCTCTTCCCCTTCTCCTTGATCTATTTTGACTTTTTATGTAGCTGGTAAGGATGTGATACCTTCTTATAGTTATGAATGGGCTAAGAAGAAAGTGAATATAGATATTTTTTCCCCTCCAGCTCGGTCATGTCTTCCCATCTAGTCTATCAAATCTCTTTATTCTGCACATCAGAATACAAGCTTGATAACAATAATAAAAAAAACCCTTCACTTTCCTTTGCTGTTCTTACTACTGGGATACTTTGAACAGTTTGAATCTCATATGGTTTGCATGAGAGACCCTGGTCCTTTGATCTGCTATTATCAAATAATGCTCCAAATTGCATCATCTTTTCCCGAAAACCTTACCACTTTTTACAATAGTTACATTTTGTTAAGTAAATAAACTAACTTTTCTGCAATAAGCAGTCTTTTTCCTCTCATTTCTCCTTCCCTGATTCAACCAAACTGGCCAAGGAATAAAGATGAATTTTACTGTATCTCTCCTCTCAATGTTTCATTACCCTGCTCATAAATCTTTAGCAACATTCTATTTGCTGCAGGATAACCTCCCACATCTTTGACATTTATTACCATGTATCTGTGTATACTCTAATCCTTACCAACATTTCCAAAACTTTATTTTCCCTCAGTTGTTAAAAAAGCACCCCGTTCAAGTCAAGGGGATCTTTGTGCTATAAAACAATAGACCTTGTGCTATCTTTTTGTGTGTCTTCAGATATCCTTTCCTCAACTACAGACCACATCATGCTTATTTATCTAAACTATCAGCTGAAATATCATTTTTTCTCCCTTTCTGAGCAACATAGCCTTACTTGAATTTTCTTTTCTCTGAATTTGATTTGCACTAACATCCTACACCATCTGTATGACATTTTCCCATGATAACTTTTTTAAGTGAATTTGTTTTTTGAATCTTTGTTAATATCAACTTTTTTAAAACAGCATTTTAAGATGCTTAGCACCTTTTTCCCCCAAAATGAGTGAGTGTCTAAGTAAAAAGTTGAATCAGCTCCTGAAATTATAAAACAAGATGTCATATTAATAGTGTTAACTCCACATAATAGTTCAGTGTTAAGAAAAATGTGGCAAAAAAATTAAGTATTCTCTGCATTCTTTGAACCCTATCTTCCCTTTTTATTTTCCAATGCAGTTAATTTGGAATTCTTACTATACATTGATGTGTCAAAATGAGTATTGTGAAAGAGAAATTATAGAATTGAAAACCATAGAAAAGACAATAAAACTTTAAATAAAATGTAATTTTAATAAGAAATGTTGGAGCTGGTTTTTCATCCTAAATGTCTCTACTGCCTTTCTTCACAAAGAAAATAAAGGCAATGACTGTATTATGTATACATGCTGTTTTTTATTAAAACTCTTGGACAAATAGTTAAGGTTAACATAATAGACGTATTTGGAGTGACTGTGCCATGTAAAACAACCTCCTTTCTTTGATAACTGTCCACTCACCAAAGGCGGGGACATCTAATTGGTTCTCAAACATTTTTTGGGGGGTTCCATGTGCTCTTCACATTCATGACTTGGGTTTACATTTGATGTTTACATTATTTTCACCAGAAAATCAGAAATATTTTTCACAGACAATTAAATTGTAAAAGTTTTGCAGCTGAGGATTTCTACACATGGAACTTTTTTGTGGCTATCTTATCCTATATATACAGAGAGGCAGCGAAAGGCAGCAGCAGGAGAAGCTGGAGAGAGAGGATGCTAAGATGTGTAGAGCAGTGGGGACAGTGATGTCTAGCTAACAGGTGCCACCACCATAAAGTCCTTAAAATAGTCCTGTTTTCTTGTAGTAAAACCCATTTGCATAATCCAGTGCAAGTGACTTTCTGTTATTTGCAATCAAATTTTTTTTTAGCTAAGCAAAAACTATTTTAAAATACTCCTGAGGGAAATTTCATAAAATATTAGGGTTATATCACTAGAGTTCTAAAAGTCCAGTAAAGTATTCACAAGCAAGAAACTGGGAAATAGTAAACTTTACAATTTTATACAACAAAGTATTATAATGTTTGGCAGCTGATAAAAAATCTGTTGAAATATTTACAAGAAGTAATAATAATTATAGAAAATCTAGAACTACCTAAACTGACGGGGAATAGTTTGGAAAAAGTTAGAAATAACATCTTACCATTATTGATAAGATTATCTACATCTATTATGTTCTTTAGAGAACTATAAACCTCAATTTTTTAGGCAGATGTCAAAACTATATTATCATACGTGTGGTATTTATGCTGTGGCTTTCACTTTTTGGAAACTTGAATTGTTGAGGAACCCATTATGATTTGTTTTCTTTTGCCTCACATATTATGGTTTGAATTAAGAAATTCCACCTTCCTTATACAATGTATAAAAAACATAATGTTAGAAATAAAGGGAAGTCCTCTTCTTAGCTCATACAAAAAATTCTAATTGAATGAATTATAAATCATCTTTGTATACTGCATGGATCTGAATATATATATGCATATATATACACACACGCATATATAATGTGCGTGTTTGTGGGGGGAGTGGAGTTACATATTTCTCAGTCATATTTCCCCACCCAGTCATATATATATATATACACACACACACACACACACACACACACACACAGTGTAGAGATACGTGTGTGTGTATCTTGCATTGGTTCTTTGAATTTGTAACTTACATTTCCTCAAAATATAGAAGGAGGAATTGAGATGCAGAGAGCTTACATTTCCTTGCTCAGGACTACAGAGTCAATGAATGGTTAATCACCAAGGATATTAACAAGGTCTGTCAAACATACTGTTTTTTCATAACAAATCCAAAATCGTGTCATCTAACCCTCAGCTCCTGATTCTTGAGATTTTGGTAGTAATGCAAACTGTCTAGTTTCCATTTCACAATATTAATTCAAAGTAAACTTTTTGCAAAAATAATGGTTTCATTAAGAAATCAACACACATGCACACACACACACACACACACACACACACAAACACACACCAATGCACCATTTAGGCACATATGTATTTCCCAAATTATAAAATGGGAATTATTAAAACCCTTACAATATTATAGTATTTTTGGGAGGAAAAAATAAAGAGCACTCCTCAAATTCAGTAAATGGTGTGGCTAAAAAATAAAGCTATGTATGCCACCAAGGGAGAAGATAATTACATTTTTTTTCCTTTTAATATACACTGAGGGATAAGGAGATATAATACAATGAAAAAAAGCATTACCACATGGTTTGGTATTTAATCATTGCTTTTATGTGTTTGTTAATAAGACTAAAAATGATGATGATTTCTTCAGCATTTTTTTCATATTCTAATGGTATACTTATACAAATGCTATATATATATACAAAATGCTATAATAAGGTGAATGGAAAGATGTTCCTATTATATTAGGTTTACTTTCATTGTTCCTTGAATAACTGTCATAAAACATGATATGACATATGTTATTTATGTCATTTAATTTTGGAGAGGTTTCAGAGAGTGAGTAAATGTATTTGCACAATTGGTATCTCAAAGCATTAAATGAGTTTTGGGCAGAAGAAATCACTTTACAGATAAAATGTAGTTGGCTCTCATCACTTATTTCTAACAGTTTTAACTAAATTAGTAGGTTTCCCCTGGCAGGTACTAACATCCATCCCATTCAATATCTACATATTTTGGATCTATTTTAATATGTAGATAGAGTGTAATCTTAAATGCTTCTGTTTATAACTTACAATTATTCCCTTGATTATCTTTCTAAAAAGAACATGCATGCTTATGTTTTTCCATTTTAGTATTTATAAACATATCTATATAAGGATTCATAAATCATAATTCATTCATAAATCATTATGAAACATATACACAAACTAAAAAGAAAGCCAATCATGTATCACAGATTTTACCTTGATAAATAATATGAATGTTTTGGTATGTTACATTTATTTTTATAATTTATTTGTTTTATTTCATTTTATATTCCAAATTCAATTTAAATGTTGGCTTTTCTCTTAAATTCTCCTGGGCATTTGAATAATGTTACATATCTCAATTAGAGAGTATATAATATTTAACTATTTTAATGTATCATAGTTTAGTTAGCTCTTAATCCACAAATTAATATCTGTTTTGAATATATTACTACTATAAATATTGCTAGAATGAACATCTTTGTATATCAATTTGCATTACATTAAATTTCCATATTTGAATTACTGAGAAAAAGTTGTTGGGATTTTAAATGCTGTTCATAGATATCTAAGCCAGTAAAACCATGGTTTAAAATTGTTTAAATAAATGGTCTCATAATATCCTTTTCTTTTTCACACTATTCTGAAAAAGGGGGAAAATCTCATTGTAATATCCCATTACATTCTTCCTAAGAAAATAAATTTACACCCAAACAAGACAGGCTCATTTCAGAAATAACTCCCACATCTAAGGATTCAAGTGCAGACAGTCTTTTCTGCTGCTATCACATTTTTCTTCAGCAGGGTCCCATTTGAACTGATCAGTCATCTGGACTCTCATTGTGGATGCACCATTGTGAACTGGCCTTATTACAACCTAATCACACCCCACCCACATTACACAGCAGAGTGATTCAAGAAGACACAACATTAAGCCTACTAAATATGCATAAATCCCTTCAATTAAAACTCTGCAGGATTGTTTTCATGTTGAACATACAGACTAATTGTTAATATCCTTTAACTGTGCTAATGTAATCATTTGTGCAAATTAAATCCGTCTTTGTAAATTTTTCTGGGAAATTTTCACTGTGTGATAACTAATAGGAAGGAAATGTCTTCTATATTGAAATGATAATTAACTTTTAACTATGATTTCACCCTTATTTTAACATTTACTCTGTCCTTTAATGTCATGTTTTAGTCAGGAATGTCTACTGACTTTCATCTAAAGTGTATGCAGTAAGCTCATTGAAGGAAGAAATGGTGTATTTGTCTTTGAACTATCATCAGTGTCATTTATGATAATAGCAACAAGCAAACAATATAAACAAAACAACAAAAGCATCACATTGAGAGGGTCCTTAGAAAATGTACTGATTTGGTGAGGAAATACATATTTTTAATATTTATTAAAAACAGTTGGCTGCTCCATTAAGACATATGGAATATTTTGTCTATTTACTCTGGCTCAAATCTGAAATCAAATATACTCATCCTTTCAAAAATACAAAATCAGAAGGTGGGCTTGAATTTTACATTTTGTGCTACACATATTTGATGCTAAAACTTTTTTTTTCTAAGGTAAAATTAGTAACACATTTATTTGGGGGAGTATTTTTAAATCTTATGTGTATGGCAGGCACTAAACTAGCCTCCAAAAACATATGCTATTTCTGAGAAACTGTAGTTCTTTGAAAAATAAGAGTTTTTCTTCAGTTTCTAATCGGCTCTATAACATTGATACAGTAAAGCCAAATCCATTCTTAATGAAATGATTTGAAGGCTGTCCTAAAATATATTGAGGTGGCAGTGAATTTCTAGATATGCTAACACATAGCCCTCTTGTAAATAAACATATTAATATCTTAGAAAACTTGCACTGAAATGCAAAAATATATTATCAAGACTCTTTCCTTCGCTTTGTCATTTAAGTAGATTATTCTCTCATTATTTCATGTACTAAACACACACATATGCATTTACAGTTCACTCTGTATTAAGCACTTTGGTGAGTATTGGAGATACAAAGTTCGCTCCAACACACAGGGTCCCTTTATTTACAGTACGCTTACTCAACACAAACATATGTACAAAGAGACACAAACTCTCCCAAACCGGCATAAATATAAAATAACAATTCTTCTAAAGTCTTTGCAGTTGTGCTGAGAAATTCTAGTAGGGATTTGATAAAGAAAGGGAGGTCAGAGAGTTTGTCTTGCAAAAGGATTGACCACACTGAGTTTGGAGAAATGTGTAAAAGGGGTGGATGGAGTAAAAGGAAAAGCCTCCTGAGACAAAGGGTATGGTGTGCATGCAAACACACCAGGGTAAAAGAAAGCAGGACAATTTTCAAACAAGTGTAGTTAGAGCACAGAGAGAAGATAGCCTAGCATGTGGTGGGGGCCGTGGGTGTGCGGCTGGAGTTATTTAGGCTGGATTTGATAATGTAATCTCTCAAAATCTATATGAAATGCATTTTTAGAGCTTATTAAAGACACAGACCACAGATATTGAGGGTGAAATAAATAAAATAGAAAAATGAATATAAGATAAATGTAGAACTAGTTTTCCTAAATTTAGAAAATTATTTGCTTTTATCAGAGAATCGCAAAAGCACTAGCAGAAGCAAAGTGAAGCATCCATGAGCGGGAAGTTAGATGCCACCGGCCACTGAAAGCGCCGCCACCCTGTGGTCACTGTTCTTGATTCAGAACAAGGGGCTTGCACTCCTGACAGAAAGAGCACAGGGGGCAGGTCTTTGGCACCAACAAACAGGAGCTTGAACTGGGACCTAAAAAGAAAGAGGGATGCTCAAATATAGAAATGTGGATGGGGGTGACATTTTCCTACCGACACCAAAAAAATCAAGACAGTTGCAGTCTCCCGCAGGACCTGTAGGGTGACGGGAAGAGAGAGAGTGGCCACAAATTCTGAGAACTGCTAAATGCAAGTCAGTTCTATGAGATCTGGGAGACAAAAAATATAGGAAATTGTAATGCAAACAAATAATAACCGGAAAAAGATGAAATATTTCCATTGAAAAGCTATATTTGTTACAAGGTGGTACATGACAGAAATATGCAGAAGATTTGTGTGTATGCACCTAAAAAATAGCCTGAAAATGTGTACAGCAAAAATTGGTATGATTACAGGGAGCAATTGAGCCATCCTTGATCTTAGAAGATTTAACAACTCATCTGTCAGCAATTTTGCAATCAAACAGAAAAATATATATATAATTTTAAATTTCTGCCAGTATAACTGTACAGTTAACAAGCTTCATCTAATGTGTATTTCTGCACTAAATAATTAGCAAATGTATATTCTTCTGTTGTATACATGGGCTATTTATAAAAATTAATCTTAAATCATAATCTTAAATCAACCAAGTTCAAATAATCAACGTACAGAACCACCTTCACCGAATACAATAGATGTTAAGTTAAAAATGAGTAGCCCATCAAAAAATGAACACCCATGTGATGTTGACAGATTACTGTTGGAGTAAAGTATTCATAAAGTTTAAAATGTAATTTATTCTGACCAACATTGAGAGCTCAGATGATTGAACCTATGGTACAGACTGAAAGTTCTGTGTCTATGATTGGAATTTATTTTTCTTTTCCTTCTAGACAGCCACACTGGAGTAGAGTCCATACTGCCTGGTTCTCTTGCACAAAGGTGTGATTATGTGTAGGTTTTCTGGCAAGTAGGAACATGGTGTAGGTGTTACCTTAGACCATGAAGATATGAGTCATAGCCTAGCAAAGAAAATGCAACAAAATAAAGGTAGCTCAGGTTTCTAACCATTCTGAAACAAAATCCTTGCTTTATTAAATTGCTTAAGCCTAGACTGCTACATCAAAGCAAAATCACCCTCTATTTCCTATAATTTATATTATGTTGTGTCTTTATTTCACAGCCAACTTTATTTCCTAAGTACAGAAATCAAATTGATTTCAAAAATACAAAGTGACCAACAGGTACCTCAAGCTACTTGTTTTGACTTTGCAAACTTTATATGTTTCATAGTTTTCACTTCTAAATATACAGTTAGGAGAAATTAAATATATTTAGGTTTATTTCTAAGTGTTGGCTAAAACAAAATTTCATTCATCAGCATTTGGAATTGTCCACTACATGTGTGCTGTTCAGATTATAAAACAGAAAAAAGTACACGGCAGCTGGTGTAGTAGCTTAGACAGTAATGGCTGTTGACAACCGAGGTACACAATAATTTTTAGAATGAAGTTTCTACCATGTGCAAATGAGTTGGTTTTTGAAAAGTTGCTTCATAATATTATTTATCTCAGCCTCCTGAGGGTAAGGATTTTTGCTTAATCTATAGAGTATGATAATGGTATGTTCTAACTTCAGATGCAATTGAATATTAGGAATTTGCAAAAGAGAAAGCACTACCAGAAAGGAGGCAGTCAATTTCTTGCAGTCTCCCATCCCAGAATTAGAGAATATTAAAAGTCTACTTCACAATTAGTTGGTCTTTTGCTTATTCTAGTTGACAGCCTCAGTGGAGAGGGCATGGTACTTGTGGTCAGAAGAGCTGTGCCTATCTAGATTCTGCAGCTTAAAATTATCTGCTCCTGACGTCATACAAAAATAGATTCGTGATGACCTTATAGGATTCTTGTGAGGGTTCAAAATATATTTGGAAGTTATTGGCACAATTATTTGTATATGTCATTTGCTTGTTATGTAATGTATTGTCTGGTCACTATGCCTCAAGTAGGAATGTCTTGTGCCAATTAGACTATTAATGCCTAGAATTAAGAGATTTCATCTTAAATTGTTATATTTATTCCTTAGTACATTACGCAGTGTTTTTATCCTAGTACTTAATCAAAACTTTGTAAAATTGGGAAAATCTAGAAAAAAACAGTGAATGATAAAGAACAAAACATATAATAAAGGAGATAAGAGAATAGAAAAGTGTAAACAGATGTCATAGCATCATATGCAATACAACAGGTCGAAGTAAAGTAATGGGAATATATTGAGATCTTGGGTGTTCATATTTTGCTGAAATGGATTCTAGATATCAAACCAAGGTGGATAAGTAAGTGGATAAACAAAACAGCAAGGAGTTAATATGAAGTCACAGGGCATAGACATAGTTCTAGAGATTGCTTACCACTCCATATGAAATGTGTGATATGACAATTTTTTAGAAGATTCAGCACACCATACACAAAATACCCAGGCATAACAAAGGGTATTGCTAAGAAACAAAGGTCATCATTGGAAAACAAACAGCAATTATAGTTTTACTTGTTTTTGTTCTTAAGTATCCTGCAAGTTCACTGACAACCAGGTCTTGTCATAAATAATTGAAATAATATGGCACTATGTTTAGAGTTAAGAATTCCCAGTAAATAATTCTGTACCAAATGAAGTACAGGATTTACCATATACATATTCATAGGAAATTTTTTATTGCTTTTCTGAAACAATCTATCAATTTACTTGATTCTTTAGGGAAAAATAAAACATGTTGTGAAATAACAAAGGAGAAATTAAGAGTTGATTGACTGATTTTCAAAAAACACTTGAACTAAATGTGTTAAAATTAGAGAAGTAATAACTTTGTTCTCTCTGAAAGGAATTCTTGAGGGCATTCATTACAAAATCAAGTTCATAATGTATCCAAGCCTTAAAGTAACTCACAACTGTTGAATAGAAAGCTACCCTTTAAGGTCCACATTTTCTAATATTTACTTTGTTAGCATTCAGGATACTTCTTGAGCCCAAATTAAATTTATTACATAAATGTTTATGCACATGTCTATTCCTACATTAATATCCATATCTACATCACCTAACACAGTGTAGCACACACAGTAAATGCTCAGTAAGTGGTGTTATAGGTATCGTTATACCTATAACATCATCACATTGTTATACCTGTAACAATACCTAAAACATAATTTGAAATAATGCTTCCTTCTTTTTCATAAATATGGGTAAAAATGACATTTGAAAATGGAAAATACAATTACTTTTTTAAATATGCTTTGACATAAAAAAGTGATCTCAAACACTTCTGCTCCCAAATCAGTATATTCATTGGTACTAATAAAAGTTTGTTTTATTATTTAGAGTTCCATAACTTTATAAATTCCTTTTAATTTTATTAAAAATATAAGATACATTTTACAAGTTCCTCAGCATCAAAACCTCTCCCCTTTTAAATCTACTCTAATCAATAGAGGCCTTTTGGCTAGAATAGATGTTCCTGGATCATTTCTATAGGATAACCTGATGAAACTCTCCATGATTCTATTTTCAGCTCTCATTTCCTCATTACTCCTACTTTATAATCATAATGATATGAAAATAACTAATTGTTTTAATTGGTTTCTCTGTTGTAGACATTGTTCTGAAAGCTTAACTTATATTTATTATTTTTTGTCCTTACAACAACCTTATGAAGTACACATTAAAGGCTCTTTTTTTACAGATGGAGATATTAAAATACAATAAAGTTTATGTTATTTGCTAAATGTCACAAAATGTATAAGAGGTGAAGCTAGGATGTGTACAAAAGAAGCTCTGGCTCTCCAGAAATCATTTTCCCAACAAATAAAAAATATACTGCCTCTCCAATACCATACAGAACTTTGGAAGGAATGAATATTGCCCATTTAGATAGTTTGACACCTCCTATACAAGTTAGTTTTAAAATTTCCACTAAATTAAATAATATAATCAGCAATCCACTTTGTAATGAGCTCTACGATAGTGGCCAGGCATGTATACACCAGGAAACTGGGCAAACTTGGCATACATCAGAGAATACTTAACGATTATCAAGTTTCAGAGATAGACTGGATTAAAATCCCTCCTCTGTCATTTACTTTCCATATGATCTTATGCTAATTCTTTTTTTTTTTTTTTTTTTTTTTTTTTGAGGTGGAGTCTTGCTCTCCCGCCCATCTGGAGTGCAGTGGTACGATCTCGGCTCACTGCAACCTACGCCTCCCAGGTTCAAGCAATTCTCTTGCCTCAGCCTCCCAAGTAGCTGGGACTACAGGCACAAACCACCATGCCCCACTGATTTTTTTGTATTTTTAGTAGAGACGGGGTTTCACTATGTTGGCCAGGATGGTCTCAATCTCTTGACCTCATGATCTGCCCACCTTGGCCTCCGAAACTGCTGGGATTACAGGCATGAGCCACCGCACCCGGCCGACCTTAGGCTAATTCTTTAGCCTTCTTGTCTTAGTTTCCTCATGTGTAAAATAAGGACAGTAATATTCATGTCTCAGGGTTGTTGTGAGGCTTGAGTCTACTTATGAAAAATGCTGGAAAAATGTGTGACACAATACACACTGCGTAAGTGTTTTCAATAAATTATCGATTAGAGATATGTATAAGGAGATTGTGGCATAATAGATATGTAACATAATAAATAGGTAGATAGATACATAGATACATACACTGGTTGTAGATGGGAGGGTGTGTGTATGTGTGTGTGTGCCTGTGTTATTAAACACATTATTTTATTTCAGTGCTTAGTCTTATAACATCCTACTGCTAATGTAACCCAGAATTCACCTTATCCTGACTTTTAAAACTCAAACTTTCAAAACTCACATATTCCATGTCTTCTAGAAAATCTAATGCTATTACCAATGTATCACTGAGTTTAAAGTTATACTATATTCCCATCCTCATCCATAGCTCTACATCAGTTTTCTTAGGTATTAATTCAATGTTAAGGCCAAATTACCTTGTTGTCCTTGTCCTATTTCACGTTATGTTGTTTCAGACATAAAATTCTCTCTCTTTTATTTTTACTCCTCAATCACCTCACTAACAACTTATAATTTTATATTACAATTGTCTGTTTCTAAAATGTTCTGACCCATTCCATCAACTGGAGAGCTAATATTCAAGCAAAATTGCTTCTCCTCTTGATTGCCTTCCTCCTCCCTAGTTTTTGTATTTTCTAATGCAGAGCGATTTGGGCACTTGATTCTAACTAGGCTGTCAGTTAACCCGTGACGTCTGAACTTAACCTTTTTTCATAGGATGTAGAAGCAAACTTTCTAAATAGAGTGGTTCATGTATGATGGGAGAGTTTCTCATTAGCTTGAAGGTGGATATGACCTAGGAATGCATACCTGCTCCATGGAGCTAGTATAACTCTTTTCATTTGATCACCAGCCTCTTTCAGCGATTACTGGCCTATAATTATGTTAGTGACCTATTGCAAGTAAAATAATTAGATAAATATGCTCTGCTATCTGATGGCAGGTCATGAGGAGCCCATTTAAGAAAACAGTTATATCTTTTATTCTAGATATGGATAGAAGGGGGAAAAGAAAAGAGGGAAAAAGGTTAATTCTAACTTAAAACTGGGATAATTCATAAATATTCATATGACCCTGCCCTAATAAAAACCTCATTACTACCACATCAGACAGCTAATTTATCCCAATAGGCCCGCCTAATATTGCAATAATAGTAAAATTAGACGTTCTGCAGTAATCATATTGAGATTTGTTTAGTTCAGAAAACCTGTTCCAAGAAAAATGTGCAAAGCAGAATGATCTTTTCCATGCCATTTAAAATTGAATTCTGGGGCTTAACAACGTACTTTGTTGGTATTTTTTGAATGCTTGAACAGATGTAAAACTCCTTTTTTGATGGAACACTTTTTAGATGGAATACTGGTGCATCTCGCAGAACGTCTTTCCCAGGCTGGAATACTGGTGCATCTCTCAGAACGTCTTTCCCAGGCATAAGAGAATTGTATTTCTGCTTAAGTAAAGTACAAGTATGTTTCTAAACTTTCAGTTATCAACCTTAACTTTGCCATCCTGCACATCTGTCATCTAGAGTGCCTGAATTCCTCTTTAATCAGTAGCACAGGCACTCAATGCTTGTCAAAATTGTACCTTAAGATCACAGGGTTATTTGGCACATCTAATATTAATCAGTAAATCTGAGAATCATGTTAATTATCCATCTCTTTAGTTACTCTGAAAAATGTAATTTGACTATATTACCTCAGCTGTCTAAGCATATTTTAATGGATTATAATTTGATATTAGTTATTCAGCTTATTAAAGAACAATCTAAGTCAGTCCCATCTGAAGGCAGCATCTGCCTCTTTAATAAAAACCTATTTGAAAGCGTTAGTTTTTATTTCACTTGCTCACTGATTCATCAGCCACTTATTGTGCTGCTACTCAGTACCAAATACTGTGATTGATGTTTGAGCAGCAGATGGAAAGGGTGATGAGTACCTGTCTCAGGGTTCAAAATGGAGCACAATAGCAAATACATAGAAATACATGCATATTTGGGAGGCCAAGGCGGGTGGATCACAAGGTCAGGAGTTCGAGACCAGCCTGACCAACATGGTGATCCCGTCTCTATTAAAAATACAAAAATTAGCCAGGCGTGGTGTCAGGAGCCAGTAATCCCAGCTACTCAGGAGGCTGAGGCAGGAGAATCGCTTGAACCCAGGAGGCAGAGGTTGTAGTGAACCAAGATCGCGCCATTGCACTCCAGCCTGAGCTACAGAGTGAGATCCCATCTAAAAAAAAAAAAAAAGAAAAAAAAGAAAAAAGAAAAGAAAGAAATATATACATATGGCTAAGCACGTTGGGTTACGCCTGTAATCCTAGCACTTTGGGAGGCCTTGGTGTGCGGATCACTTGAGGTCAGGAGTTCAAGATGAGCCTGGCCCACATGGTGAAACTCCATCTCTAATAAAAATACAAAAATTAGCCGAGTGTGATGGTGCGTGCCTGTAATCTCAGCTACTTGGGAAGCTGAGGCAGGAGAATTGCTTGAACCTGGGAGGCAGAGATTGCAGTGAGCGGAGATTGTGCCACTGCCCTCCAGCCTGGGTGACAGAGCAAGACTCTGTCTCAAAAACAAACAAACAAACAAAAAACATACATATAACTCAATGGACAGCACTGAAACAACAGAAGACTAGAAGTAAACCCAAAATATTAACAGAATCAGTGTGAAGAGAGGAGCAGAGCCTTTACTGGATGGTTGGTGAAGGGCAAGATGAGAATACAATCGTATACTGCATCTGGATATTTCCATTAACACTGAGGCACATACGATGGTGTGGTCCCATGAGATTATAAAGGAACTGAAAAACTATCACCTAGTGACATTGCTGCTGTCATAACTTGCTGCAACGTACTACTCATGTGTTTGTGAGGATGCTGGTGTGAACAAATCTACTGTGCTGCCAGTCACATAAAATTCTCACACATACAGTTATGTATAATAATAATAATTCTATCATTGGTTTTTGTATTTATTATACTTATCATTATTTTAGTGTGTGCTCCTTAAGCCTATTGAGATTAAAAATTACCTGAAAACTTAAAAAAAAAAAAACAAAAAATAAATGAACAGTCTCAGGTCCTTCGGGAGGTATCCAGAAGGCATCGTCATCATGGGAGATGACAGCTTTATTGGCCCTGAAGACCTTCCAGTGGGACAAGATGTGGAGATAAAAAACAGTGATATTGATGATCCTGACCCTGTGTAGGCCTAGGCTAACATGTCTGCTTGTGTATTCATTTTTAACAAAAAGTTTTAAAAAGTAAACATCAAATAAATTTGAAAAAGAAAAAAAGATTATAGAATAAGGATATAAAGAAAGGAATAAAATATAGAAAAGAATGTATAATAAGGATATAAAGGATATCATATTTTTGTATAGCTGTACAATGTGTTTGTGTTTTAAGCTAAGTGCTATTACAAGAGCCAAAAAGTTAAAAATATTAAAATGTTTGTAAAGTGGAGTAGTTATAGGAAGCTAAAGTTAATTTATTACTGAAGAAAAATGTTTTTGATAAATTTAGTGTAGCCCAAGCAGTGTTGATAAAGTCTACAGTAGTGTCCACGAATGTCCTAGGCCCTCACATTCACCCACCTCTCACTCACTGACTCACCCAGAGCAACTTCCAGTACTGCAAGCTCCATTCATGGTATATGCCCTATACAGGTGAACCTTTTTTTTTAATCTTTTACCTCACTTTTACTGTGTCATTTCAATGTTTAAATACACAAAAATATTTACCATGTGTTACAGTTGCCTGCAGTATTTAGCACAGTAAAATCCTGCATAGATCAGTAACGTAGGAGCAACAGACTATACCATATAACCTAGGTGTGTAGTAGGCTGTACCACTTAGGTTTGTGAAAATCCATTCTTTGATGTTCAGTCAATGACAAAACTTCCTAAGGACACGTTTCTCAGAACATATACCTCTCATTAAGTGATGGCATATCTGTATAGGCAAGTGGAGTATATTTTCTACAGTAGAAAGGATACACAAATGTGACCCAAAATGCCAGGCAAGTTTAGAAGTGGTGGGTCGATATCCAATAAGAAGAAAAACATGTTTTCTGGAGTTCATTTCTTAAGGAGTTGTCTGTGTTTGGAATGAATACTTAGACTATGTAGTAAGGTGTGTGTGTTTGAGGATGGGAGAGGTAAACTTCTATTTGTTCTAAGAATACATGTTCTTTACAGTTAGTGTATTGTTGCCTGAGGTTTGCAATTGGGGGACCACTTCCTGCCAAGATTAGAGAGAAATAAGAAAATGCTCAAATATTTTCTTATTTCAGACAGACCTTGTGTCCTGATCTTGCCTAAAAACTAATATCTACATCCACAAAGAAAAAAAAAGCATCTTCTGTAGCTAGAATTCTGTTTTAATTGAGATAATTTTCTGTCTTTTGGCCTGTGTGTTTAATTTGTAAGTACAGCCCGAGAATCAGCTAATGCTTTCATATTCTGTGTGCCTCATGCATTTTAAGAATGCCCATTTTAGCTAATACATGTTTATTAAATACACATTCATTGTGAAAATTACTCAAATTCATCAAATGCTCAATTATCATTTCCTGAAAAGAACATCAGTTTAGGTATTGAGAAAGTAATGTAAATATCCAGTTATAGAATTTAGATTACAGAAAGCTATACTTTGTGCCTTAGCCTGAAAAAATTCAATGGCAAACACTGGGTTGAAAAATCATACTACTCTTTCCATCCACCCCCACTCCCACACCTCTTAAAGTGGGAACTCTAGTAATTTATGAATGGTACATGCTTTACATAAATGTGAAAAAGGTGCCTGACATCTAGTGACACATGTACTGGGAATGAAAGGGAAATATCTCATGATCGTTGTTTCCATGTCACTGAGCTTTGGCTTAAGGAATAACGGTTGATGAAAACAAACCAAGTAAAGGTATTAGAAATATTATCAACTTCTTAAGTTAAATTTCTGGGCCACTGGGTAAGATCCTTACTGAGAGAGAGAGCCCTGTTAAGAATATTTTTGCCCAGGGACATTGCCCACTGTGTAGTATAACACTGTGAAGTATGGTGGGAGCTCAGGGTCACTCGATATCAGTCTTGACCTCCAGAGACAATGGAGACTCAAAGTATTGGTCTGAATCTCCAGGAAGGGCTGCAAACTAAAGGCCAGCGAGGCAGGCATGAGGGGATCAAACTGCAGTAAGAACTGAAGACACTAAAACCTCCAGTGAGCATTCTAGGGGGCATTCCTCTGTGTATTGCCATGCATTGTGGCCAAAAGATGCTAAACCCATCTGTGACTCCAAGAGGGAGAATGACTGGAAGCTCTGCATGTGGATCTCTCTGGGACTTTGCCCTGTGTGTCTCTTTCCTTCGCTGATTTTGAGTCTTTTCACTATCATAAAACTGTAATTGTAAATATAGAGCTTTTACTGAGGTTCTGTGGGTTATTCTAGTGAATTATCCCACCCGATGGTGGTTGTGAGGAGCCCCAAATTGATAGCCAGCTAGTCTGAGGTAGAAGTGGTCCTGGAGACACCCAGTTTATGGCTGCTATCTGAAGTGAGGGCAGTCTTGTGGGGATGGTTCCCTCAGCCTTTGCAGTTTGGCTTAAGTCGTTGTGGACACTAAAAGGCATTGTTATCTATATCATATTTATAAACTTATGCTAAGAGTTGGCATCCCTGCTTGTTACAAAGTATAGTGCTAAATGTATAATGGTATGTAAAGCCTTGATTGGTAGTTGTAAACAAATAACAATCAAAAATGAAAATATAACTAGATTGATCTAATCAGAATCATGGAATAGATGGTTACGGTGATGGTAGAACCCTTCAACATTCTTCCTGAGAGAATAGCAAATGTGGAAAAGATAGCCTTCCATCCTTTGCATTTGCCTAGTGAAGTAAAGTTAATGTGGTCATGAGGACGTGAATGCATGTGACTGCAAATGTGTGTCTAGTGGCATTTCTTGGGCCAGGTGCATGGTTCAGAGAATGAGGGAGCACATCAAAAATATTTAATAGGAATGTCCTGGGATTATGAAACATTCCTCCATGTGGGCCATAATTTCTGGATATGCTTTGCTAAGTGCAGGAGGCAGCAAGGTATTAGATGTCATTTTGGGGGTAGAGGAGGCTACAGGGCAGGGAAAATAATCATAATTTATAGATCCTAAAATACTGTTCCTTATTTCACTTACAATGTTTAGTGGACTCTACATGGTTTCCAAAAAGATCTTTGATTCTTCCCTTTGCTATAATTGGAAATATTAGCTTGGACATGTTACTTGGTCTCTCTGTTAGAGTAGGCAGATAGCCAGAAGCGAGCAGGAAAGGGAGCCCCTGGGGAAAGAAGTCTTCACAGCAGCTTCTTTGCTTCCTCCAACCCTCCTTGAAGACACTTGGGGCCATGCAATATGTGTTTGTCTTTTCAACCAAAAAACTGCTGCCTCAGCACTAGGATTCACAAAAACACAACACACACACACACACACACACAGAAGAAAACAGCATAGAAAATATCTTTGTGACACTGATATGGTTTGGCTACATGTCCCCACTCAAATCTTATCTCAAATTGTAACCCCTATGTGTTGAAGGAGGGACCCGGTGGGAGGTGATTGAATCGTGGGGGGCAGTTTCCTTTTTGTGATAGTAAGTGAGTTCTCACAATTTTGTCTTTGTGATAGTAAGTGAGTTCTCACAATATCCGATGGTTTTTTAAGGGGCTTTTCCCCCTTTGCTTACTCTTTCCTATCACTTTGTGAAGAAGACACTTGCTTCTCCTTCACCTTGCGCCATGATTGTAAGTTTCCTGATGCCTCCCCATCCCTGCAGAACTGTGAGTCAAGTAAACTTCTTTTCTTTATAAATTACCCTGTCTCAGGCAGTTCTGTATAGCAGCGTGAAAATGAACTAATATCGGAAATTGGTGCTGCAGAGAGTGGGGGCACTGCTATAAAGATAACCTGAAATGTGGAAGTGAGTTTGGAACTGGGTAACAGTCAGAGGTTGGAACAGTTTGGAGGGCTCAGAAAAAGACAGAAAGATGTGGGAAGTTTGGAACTTCCTAGGGTCCTGGAGGACTCAGAAGACAGGAAGATGTGGGAAAGTTTGGAGCTTCCTAGAGACTTGTTGAATGGTTTTGACCAAAATGCTGTTAGTGATATGGACAATGAAGTCTGGCTGAGGTGGTTGCAGATGAAAATGAGGAACTCATTGGGAAGTGGAACAAAGGTCACCCTTGCTATGGTTTAGCAAAGAGACTGGTGGCATTTTGCCCTTGCTGTAGACATCTGCGGAACTTTGAACTTGGGAGAGATTATCTGAAATTGGAATTTATGTTTAAAGGGGAAGAAGAGTGTAAAAGTTTGGAAAATGTTCAGCCTAACCATGTGGTAGAAAAGAAAAACCTATTTTCTGTGGAGAAATTCAAGCCAGCTGAAGAAGTTTGCATAAGTAACAAGGAACTGAATGTTAATAGCCAAGACAATGGGGAAAATGTCTCCAGGGCATGTCAGAGATCTTTTGTGTCAGCTCCTCCCATCACAGGCCTGAAGGCCTAGGAGGAAATAGTGGTTTCATGAGCCCGGCCCAGGGCCCCACTGCTGCTCTGTGCAGCCTAGGAACTTAGTGCCCTGTGCCCCAGCTGCTCCAGCTCCAGCTGTGGCTAAAAGGGGCCAAGGTGGAGTGGATCAAGGCCATGGGAGCCTACCTCTTGCATCAGCATGCCCTGGGATGTGAGACATGAAGTCAAAGGAGATTATTTTGGAGCTTTAAGATTGAATGACTGTCCTGCTCTATTTCGGATTTGCATGGGGCTTATAGCCCCTTTGTTTTGGCCAATTTCTCCCATTTGGAATGGCAGCATTTACTTAATGCCTGTACCCTCATTGTATCTTGGAAGTAACTAACTTGCTTTTAATTTTTTTATAGGCTTCTAAGTGGAAGGGACTTGCCTTGTCTCAGGTGAGACTTTGGACTATGGACTTTCGAGTTAATATTGAAATGAGTTGAGACTTTGGAGGACTGTTGAGAAGGCATGATTGGTTTTGAAATGTAAGGACATGAGATTTGAGAGGGACCAGGGACAGAATGATATGGTTTGTCTCTGTTTTCCCACCCAAATCTCATCTTGAATTGTAATCCCCATGTGTTGAGGGAGGGACATGGTGGAAGGTGATTGGATCATGGGGGCAGCTTTTTCCAATGCTGTTGTCATGATAGAGAGTGAGTTTTCATGATATCTGTTGATTTTATAAAGGGCTCTTCCTCTTTAGCTTACTCTCTTTCCTGCTGCCTTGTGAAGAAGGTGCTTGCTTCTCCTTCTCCTTCTGCCATGATTGTAAGTTTCCTGATGCCTCCCCAGCCATGCAGAACTGTGAGTCAATTAAACCTCTTTATAAATTACCCAGCCTTAGGCAGTCCCTTACAGCAGTGTGAAAATGGACTAGTACAGACACTTCTAAATTGGCTCCCCCAGGTTTTGCTGACATATGTCACCTTTTCTCTTTGGCTACACCCTCAGGTGTCTCCTCTAACCTTTGTGACAATTGTAACATGGATTACAGAACCTACCTGATCAAGCTGTAGTTATTTGTTTCCCTACTGTTTGTTGAGTTTCTAGAAAACACTAACATCTCTTATGCAACCCTATACCCCAAGCAGCAAGCATATTGCCTGGCATGCAGTCAGCATGCTTCTGCTCCAGTTAAGTAGCCTGAAACACAGAAAATCAGAGTATGTGGTGGTGTTTTGCTTATTGTCTAGCAAGTTACAACCAAGTCCCTTGCAGAGTTATATCACAAAGCCACGTTGTGGCACTCTATTTAAAAACTACTATATGGAGCAGGGACTTAAACAATAAAGAAAGATTTTCCCTTAAGTTATACAGTTAAAATTCATAATGACTCTCCCTTATATATTCAATTATAACTATGATAAATAACTATGATAAAATGTGCATAATGATATAAATCTCATGTCAGGGCAGAATCAAGAGCCTACAATTGATTTAAATACTCACAAGTTCAAGTGATATAGATGAATTTTGCAATGTCAAATTAGGTAAAATAAATCTACCCAGATGTCTTGCCAAATATGCGTACACATAGTTGCAGCCTTCAGCTACATCATACATATGTCCCCTTGAAACAGATGTATATCCATATTCACTCAGGAAATTGTGTGTGCTTGCATATCAAATATAAAAGAAGAATGAATGTGCAGATGAAAATAACTGCTCTCTAAAGGAAAACTCTAAAATTGGTGCTAAATTTGTGTTTCTGTCCATATGTGTTTATGCACCTTGAGTTGTATGTGAGCAAAGTGTGTAATTCTGCTGTTCCTATTCCTGTTGCATCATTGAGGCACAGAATTTATGTAAAATATCACCCTAAATGAAGCTTCATTTCACTGGAGGCATTCCTTTAAATATAGCAGGTAAACACTGAAAAGCACTTTGTGGTTGAGGAGCAATATAACTCAATATGTCTACACAGGAAATCAGAAAATATAATGCTACTGTAAAAAATGTAATTGCTAATTCTTTTCTTTAAAAGGGTTATAAGGCTTTCATTTTATAGTCCTTTTCTTCTTACAAATGCAAGGCATGCTCATTTTAGAAAATTTCACAAATTCACAGAGGTACAAAAGGTAGAAAGGGGTTGGAAGAAAAAATAAACTCACTTCTTCACACATCCCTCATTCAAATACACATCACCATGTCAGTTTTACACAAAGCGTTTATACGTTTTACTTTGTATGAAAAGTACAAAGTATAACATAAGATTTTCCAGACTATAGAAGTCTTTATGCATTTCTGTAATGTGCCCAATGTAACAGAAGACAGAGGATGAGTTAAAAGTGTTAACATTAAATTTTGGCTTGATAGTAGATAGAGCAATATCTATAATAATATTAAATGTAAAGCAGCAGTTTAGTCAAGAGCTAAGAGTTAAGATTGCTGTGAAGGCATTAGAGACAGACAACACAAAAACATTCCCCTTATTCTAGACAGAGCTCTAAAGCTTGGGATACCTCCTGGCACAATCATCATTCTAGAAGTCTAGAACCTTCATAACCTTTAGTGTTGATTCTAAATTTTGAGACAATAATTTTAAGAAAAGCTAGTTTATTTTCCCCTCCTGTTTTCTAAAGATTTATTCAGATAATTACAAGTGGAGAAGGAGAAGGAGGTAACTTAATATTTAACTATGTATTTGGCACTAATAAGTGATGGTGTCACTAATTTCCAATGGTTTCTTGATGTACAGTTTCTGGAAACAACATCTGACAGAGATGGAAGATAGTAATCGCACACTCAGCTCATAGGGTTATAATAACACACAAACATTTCACATACTGTGTAATGGAAACTCTTCTGCTGTCCTCTTAATTCTCTCAACAACTTGATTAATACGTGATACCGTTTTCTCAGTTTTACAATTGAGCAAACTGAGGCACAGAAAGATTATGTTAAATTCTTAGCGTCACATAGGTAGCAATTGCAAAAGATGGGCTGTCAACTTAGGTACCCTGGAATTGGGGTTGGAATTTATAATCACTGAAGCAGAGTTTAGAATTATCTATCATTAACATACTACTTCACTTTTTCCCCTAAACTTGTATTTTGATGTCATTAAATTTTTTTAAAGATATTATTTTTAATTTTTAAAATTTTTTAATTTCAATTGTTTTTGGGGTACAGGTGAGTTTGTGTTAATGGGTAAGTCATTTAGTGTTGATTTCTGAGATTTTAGTGCACTCATCACCTGAGCAGTGTACACTGTATGCAGTATGTAGTCATTTATTCCTCATCACTTTTCCAACCTTTCCCCCGAGTCTCCAAAGTGCATTATATCATTCTTATGCCTTGGCATACTCATAGCTTAGCTCCCACTAATAAGTGAGACCATATGACATTTAGTTTTCCATTCCTGAGTTACTTCACTTAGAATAATCACCTCCAGCTCCATTTCAGTTGCTGCAAAAGACATTATTTCATTCATTTTTATGGCTGAGTAGTATTCCATGGTGTATATATACCACATTTTCTTTATCCATTTGTTGGTTTATAGGCACTTAGGTTGGTTCCATATCTTTTCAATTGTGAATTGTGCTGCTCTAAGCATGTGTGTGCATGTGTTAAAGATATTGTTTTAAATGATGGCATAATGTTCCATCTTTTAAAAATATTATAACTGATCTAATAATTTCTCTATTTTTAGATTGTTTCCACTTTCTTGCTATCATCATTATGGCTGTGAATATACTGGAATAAATATCTTGTTACTAAGTTAATAACTTTTAATTTAAAAAATTTCTATATAAATTAAAAAAATAGTTTCCAAAACAGTTTTACCAATAATATTTTCATCAGGAACCTATGAGAACACTCAGAACACCACGTTTCCAGTAATAGGAAATATTATCAACTTAATTTTACTGTGTTGGGACTTTGCTATCTTTGAGGTGATTCTTATAGACTTTATGCATCAACTTTCATGTTTATTTCTATGAACTGGAATATAGTAAAACATGAGAAAAATCCGGATTTGAGTGTGATTCTGGCAAATTTTAGCTCTATGACATCACACCTAAATTCTCTCTGTGCTTCAGTTTTCTTGTCTACCTGTTCTCTTTAATTTAGTGGTTTGTGTTTTTATAAAGGATGAAATAAAATATTATGTGAACGTATTTCATCATGTATAAAGTATAATCTAAATTTATGATAGTAGCTATTGATAATATATACAATGGATGAGCCATATTTTTCCCCTATGGGGGAAACAGAAAGTGCTGAGAACCTTGATACTGTTTATTATAGTATTGAAGTTAATCTAGCTCAATCTCTTTTATTCTTTAACTCTGATCTAGTCATTCAGCATGAATTGAATATAACAATCAGCTAAATCTACAATACACGTGTCTTAGCCTATTTGGGCTGCTGTAACAAAATATCATAGACTAAGTATCTTATAAGCAACAGAAATTTATTTTGGTGGACGAGAAGAGGCAGGTCCTTCAAGCCATTTTTTTTTATATATATAAGGACACTAATCTCACTTTTGAGGGCCCCATCCTCATGATCTAATCATATCCCAAGGGCCCTACCTCCTAATACTGCCACACTGTGGATTAGGTTTCAACATATGAATTTTTTAGGGACAAAAACATTCAGACTATAGCAGCACATTTCCAAAGAAAGTGACATTAGTAGATGCATATTCTTTTAAGGTCATGAGACAAACACCAGAAACTAAATTGAGGTCCATAGAATTTTATCCTCATGTAAAACATAAATATATGTTTTATAACTTACACTCCGACATGATCTTTTCCACTTTTATTTTTAAATGAACATTATTTTTCAAGCAGCTTTAGTTTTACAGCAAAATTTAGGGGAGAATACAGAGTTTTCTGTCCCCACTATCAAGATTTTGCACCAGAGTGGCACATACGTTGCAACTGATGAACCTACATTGACACATCATTATCAATCTGTAGTTTATATTAAGGCCCCTTCTTGTTATATATTTTATGTGTTATGACAAATGTACAATGACACATATTCATCATGATAATATCATACAGAGTATTTCCACTACCTTCGAAATGCTCTGTTCTCCATGTATTCATTCATCCCTGCCCCTAAACCTTAGCAACCATTGATCCTTTGATTGTCTTCATAGTTTTTCCTTTTCTGGAATGTCATATGGTTGGAATTATATGTTATATGGCCTTTTCAGATTGGCTTATTTCACTTAGAAATATGCCTTTAAGTTTCCTCCCTGTCTTTTTGTTGCCTGATAGCTCATTCCTTTTTAGTGCTAAATAATAATTCATCGTCTAGATGTATTTTTATCTATTCATTCACCTACTGAAAGACATATTGATTACCTAGGTAAATTCCAAGAAGTGTGATTGCTGGATAGTATAGTAAACATATGTTTCATTTTTTAAGAAACTGCTAAACTCTCCTCCAAAGTGGCTGTGTCATAATGTATTTCCTCCAGCAATGAAAGAGAGCTCCTATTGCTTCACATTCCAGGCAGCATTTGTTGTTGTTACTGTTTTATATTTTGGCCATTGTTATAAGTGTGTAGTGTCACATGATGTTTTTACAACAGAACATATATCAGAGTTTACAATAGCTCTATGCTTATCACAATACAATTGAACCTGTTCTTGAAAAGCCTGAGTATTCTTAGAGAGCTTTCTTCCTGGACAAAAAAATAATCTCAGACCTTCATTATAGAAGTAATACAAACAGGACCTATAGTGATTGCTAGAGCAGTGGATTATATATTCAAATAAAAACCAAAAGAATACTTATATATTGTTTTACTTTATAAACACTCTTATTCTCTTAAAATATGTAATATTACTCTAGTATTATGTACTTCTGTCCTTTAGCGTCCTTAAGGCATTTTTCAGATACTATTTAAACAATTATTACAATCAGATGAAATGAATTAATGGGAGATATTATGTCCAATCTGTATATAATAGGAGTACAAGGCATTTGTTTATTAGCTGAATTATGAACATAAATTTTTCACTCTGACCTTTATTGGGTGTGTGACTAAGAATTAACTGGGAACTTGCAATATAGAAAAGCCAATTAACAGGAGCTTGAATAGGTCTATCATGAATGTTTCTACCAGCACTAAGTATAATCAGACAAAACGTTAAGTAGGATATCAATTTCTTACATATTTGACTGTTAATTAGTCTGCATTTGTATTTTTTCTTATTAAATATTTTTAAAAGAAGATTGGGAGGACAACCCTTTTTACTCCTTCTATCTTATTATTAACTTTTAAAAAGTACAATTTAGTGGGTTTTTTTGGTATTGTAACTCATCTTGCTAGAAAAGACAAGAAAATTATACCTCTAGTAATCATATCCATACTTCACATACTATTTCACTATTTATATATGACATTGTTGTTTATATAGTCATTACTCGTTTAGATTTGCATATTTAGCATTTCATTTCTCTTTGTCACTTCTAGATCTTTGCAATATACTCTAGAGTTCCTTTAGGAGAATAGTATTTATTAGTGTGGCTTCATGGTAATAAATTCCTTTTTCTTCTGCCTGAAAATGTTTTGATTTCACTTTTATTCTTGGAGGATATTTTAGGTAAAGGAATTCTAGGTTGACTTTTTTTTTAATCGTTTATTTCATCACATTGAAGATGTTCCATAGTCTCTGGCTTCTATTGTTTCTTTTTTTGAAGTCATCTTTCAGTTGTTCCCTTGAGTGTAGTGTATCATTTTTCTTATGGAGGTTTTCGTTTATTTTACTTTTGTTATCTGCATTCTGACACTGCTGTGTTTAGCTGTGAATTTCCTTGAATTTATTTCACTGAAAAGTTGTTGAGTTTTTTCAATTTAGAAATTGTTGTTGCCTCCATTTCTAATAAATTTTAGTCAAAATTTTCCAAATTTAACTACTTCACCATTTGTTATCTTATTATAATGTGAGATTTCAATTAAATATGTTATCTCTTCTAATATTACTGTCAATATATATTAAATCTCTTGCAATTTTTTATCCTTTTATTTCCTCCCATCATTAATTATTTCTTCATTTTATCTATTTACTTTAAAAGCTATTGATTGAATTCTTAATTTCAGCTATTTTTTTTCCCAGTTCTAGTATTTCCATGTGGCAGATTTTGAATTCTGACATGTAACTTTTGATTTTCTGAATCACTGCCAAAATTTTTAATCTTGTCATTTAACTTCTCTTGAGTAGATGAGGTAGTTATTTTAAATTCTATGATGATTCTACTTACAAGGAGATAAATAGAATCTGAGTCTGTTTCTGTGATCTTGTTTCTTCCGGTAGTCATTCACGTTGTTTTATCTCCTCAATTGCTTTATCTATTTATATTTCGTGCTGGATATTTCATTCATAAAACTCTGTAGTAATACCTTGAGGACTTAAAATAATATTAAATTATTCAAGGAAAAAAATTCTGTTTGCTTCTCCTAGGCATCCACAGGTACTGGCCATCTGGGAAACCTTTGATACATTATTTGAGAACTGCAGGATTACTGTCATTGTGGGAAAGATAAATATTTTGGGATGCTGAAGTCTAAGATGCGGCAAATCCAGTGTCTGTTAGGAGTCAGCCTCCTAATTTGCATATGGCTGTCTTCTTGCTGTGTTCTCACGTGGCGGAGAGCAGAGAGAGAGAGGAAGCAAGCTCTCTCATATTTCATCTCATAAGGTCACTAATTCTAGCTTGAGCCCTCCACCGTCATGACCTAATTACCCACACACAGCCCCACATCCTAGTACCATACCATTGATGCTTAGGGTTTGAATAGATCAGTTCTGAGGGGACAAAAGCATGCAATCCATAACAGCCTCCTAGTCTCCTCTGGATTAGCAAATGTCTCCAAGGTAAAAGCATTCCCACATGCTGGATTACTTCAGAATTTTAGACCAGCAGTTCCTCATTACCATGTTAGCCTCTGTATTAATGAATGTTCTATGACTGTTGCAACAACAATTGATCCCAAACTTAGCAGCTCAGAATAACAATATATATATTTTTAACAGTTTCTGTGGGTCAGAAATCAAGGCAGATCATGGCAGGATTTTTCTCAGGGTCTCATAAAGACAAAATTAAGGTGGCAACAGGGGCGTGGTTCTCATCTCAGTTTCAGGATCCTTTCCAAATTCCCTGTTGAGGAAAGCTATTTCCTTCTTATCTGTTCGATGGCTCCCTGTAACTTCAAGCCATCCAGGGCATGATGAATCCCTCTTCATGCTTCAAATCTCTGAATTCCTCTTCAGCTTCTGCTTTTAAGGGCTCATGTTATTACATTGCACTACCTGGGTAAGCCAGGATGATCTCCCTATTTTAAGACCAACTGTTTAGTGATCTTAATTATATCTGGAAGGTCCCTGTGACTGTAACAAATGCATGGGTATGATAGCATACTTGCCAGCCCAGGAATTAAGGCATAGAATCATCTTGGGGACTGTACTTCTACCACATTCACCAGTGCATCTAGGAAGGATTTGTTTCTCTTTAATATTTTTTCAGTTTTTTGGTGTTTACAGCTGAAGCATTAGACTGAATACTTATTCTGTCACTACTGGAAGTAGAAATCCTCTTAGTAGAATTTTAGTTTATGATTAAAAGTTTGTCTTGTAGTTTTCTCTTCTTGTCCAGCACAGCAGGTAAGAATGCCAGCCTATGTGATTGGCTAAATTCAGTTTCAGGTTTCCACTGACTTCTATACGGCTCTCTGCAATGTTCTTCATTTAGTTCTGGTTCTGTCTTTATCTATTAATTTGAAGTGACATTACCTACCATATTGAATTATTATGAGGATTAAATGAACATATACAAAATTATTCAGAGCACTAAAACTTCTACAGTAAATGTAAGTTTTCAGAATGTTAGTTATTATTAATCAGACTTTAGTATAATGTGTTTATATTACAAAAAACTACAATTAAACAGGAAAGCAAGCTATTTACCTGTGTTTTTATCTCTAAGGAAAATACATCTTTTGAAATATTGGACCTCATTTTATATTTCTGATATCAATTCTGCCAGTAAGTTACAACTAGATATTTAAATAAAATGAAAACAACAACAACGACAACAACAACAAAAACCCAGCAATGACATCAGTGAAATTAACTCATTTTATCCTTCTTTAGTCTTGACTTTTATGACATTCTGGAGTAGATATTTAGAAAATAATTTAAGAGGATAAGACCCAATCATGTCCAAAACAAATTGTTTTGCCCCGAGATCAGTTTTTCATGAGCTATATTTGTTTTGTTTTTCCAGTCCATAAAAATACTTTCAAAAAATATCTCAGCAGTAGGCAGTAGACAATGTCAGAAAAAAGTAATCTGAGTCCTAGAGCTACATATTCAGCAGATATCATTGCAGCTTTTACCTTAAACATTGTTGAACATGTTTGAATTCAAGTTAAAATATAATGTTTCAGTACATTCACACCTTCTGTCAAAGAACAGTGTCACAAATAATTATGAAGAACTCAGAAAACAGCACAAAAGGCCATCTGTGAGATCTGAACAGATGTAGCTGTTCAAATCCTTTGTTCACATTGAAGTTGGGAACTCTCAAGTTTTAACAATTGGTGTTTAGATGTGTAGAAACCAACAATGGAAAAAAAATCAATTGTAGGAAAAATGATTTTTTTAATTTGGGTTATTTAAAAGTTCTTTTTCCTATTATACATAATTTATTCCTTTTATACATAAAAATGATTCCCTGTAAGAAAAATAAAACTACAATAGACACAATAAAAGATTAAAACAGAAGAAATAGCAACCATTAGAAATTCCTTTATGTCGCTAATCAGATTTAACACTTTGTATTAGACATAACCCAATTGAAAGATTAGAAAGATGTTGTTGCTAAGAATAAGGACGTGCTGTCTCCTAAATCAAGTGTTCAGATGTGTTTACTCTTCTTCATTTTCATCAAAAGCATCCTTTAAGACTGTGGCCTTAAGCTTTACCACACTTTGGACTTCTTAGAAGATATTGTTTAAAATCCTCTGTCTGACTTTACCACAATTAATCAGAATCTTTGGAGATAAGACCCAATTATTATTCAGGTTTCACTTATTTGGTTATCACTTCCCAAGTGATTCTCATATGCAATCAAGTTTAAGAACCAGTGTTTTAAGAGCTATTGTGAGCTAGGTATAGGTGGTGTTTGAAATAAAAGTTTATGTAAAAAAGGAAATAAGCCCAAAAATAACTATGGATGTTATGGATTATAAAATTAGTAAGTGTACTATTGTCATTAAAACATTAGCGTTTTCATAAAAGTTGATGTATATTAAATTACCTACTTTTCATTTCCTATATGAAGTCATATATAGAACTCAATCACTTAATGAAAGTTAAAATGTGAAAATTAGTAGATACACATCTTTCATTTACTATAAGACAAAAGACTAAAATGTTTGAGTTGGAGAATTAATGGAGGTAACCTAGTTAACTTTCTACAAAATCTCAATTGCATTCTTCAATATCCTTTTTAATGAATATTTGATCTCTCAGCATTTCAAGTTTACTTATGGAAGTATAGGCAATATTGTTGGAAATGTTTAATTCTTGGAATATCCTCCTTTACAGTGAATTTACATGTCCTTCTAAATTGTCACAGTTGGACCTCTTTTTGCCTTCTGGATCACTTTGCAACAAGAGAATTGTTCTCTAAACATCTTTCAGTTTTTCATACAAAACTATGGCATGACTTAGCTAAAAAATAAATTCCTCTTAAATAATTAAAATTGCATAGTTGAATTGCTTAAACATGAACTTAGTAATAACCTAAATTAAAGGGAAGCCAAGACATTTGCCTAAATACATAGCAACAATAATGAAGGAAAACAAAAAGAAACCCTGAGAGAAACTAAGGGTTGAACTGTTTCTCCCAAACTTCGTATGCTGAAGTCTTCTTCTGTTTGCTACAGCTGCAATA